>NC_000015.10:90229156-90380672 GCF_000001405.40 Homo sapiens
TTCTGCCTTGCCAGTCAGCCGAGGATGTAGTTGTTGCTGCCGTCGTCCCACCACCTCAGGGACCAGAGGGCTAGGTTGGCACTGCGGCCCTCACCAGGTCCTGGGCTCGGACCCAACTCCTGGACCTTTCCAGCCTGTATCAGGCTGTGGCCACACGAGAGGACAGCGCGAGCTCAGGAGAGATTTCGTGACAATGTACGCCTTTCCCTCAGAATTCAGGGAAGAGACTGTCGCCTGCCTTCCTCCGTTGTTGCGTGAGAACCCGTGTGCCCCTTCCCACCATATCCACCCTCGCTCCATCTTTGAACTCAAACACGAGGAACTAACTGCACCCTGGTCCTCTCCCCAGTCCCCAGTTCACCCTCCATCCCTCACCTTCCTCCACTCTAAGGGATATCAACACTGCCCAGCACAGGGGCCCTGAATTTATGTGGTTTTTATACATTTTTTAATAAGATGCACTTTATGTCATTTTTTAATAAAGTCTGAAGAATTACTGTTTAATCCTGGCTCTTCCTCTTCAAGGACAGTTGCTTTTTGAGGTAGGTCTAGTCTTCTGAGTTCTGAGAGGTTCTGAACCTCTTCTTTGCAGGCTCAAGTGAGCCAGAGTCAGCCTAGCCTGGTCAGCAACGTCTCCCTGTGGGGCGGCTCTGAGGTGGGGAGCTTAACGCACTGATAGGCGGAGGCAGGGGGTTCATTGCGTTTACCTCAACCCCTTCATTCTGCATCCCCAATTCAGTTTAGCAAGGGTAGGGACACAAGGGAAGGGATGGGATGGGATGGGGGCCCTGTATTAAAGTTTTTAATTCTTCAGATCATGCAGTAAAATAGACTTTACTGATGTACGGTTCTTTACATTTTGATGCATGCAGAGACTCATCTAACCACCACCCCAATCAGGATACAGGCGAGTCCCACACCTCCTGCTGCCCCTTCATCCTCACACCCTCCCACGGGGACAGCCAGCGTGGGTGCGGCTTGACTTCCCGCTGGCCTCTGCTCGATATGCTGCTTATTCCTAGGATGATTGAAGGCTCTTAGAAGAGAAGTCCAGTCCTTCCTCATACCAGTGTATCTCATGTCACACATAGGGTCAAACTTCTAAACCTTTATTACTGATTAGTACAAACACAAACGGAGCAATGACAACAGCAGTGAGGAGAGGCCCTGACAACGAGGGCCGCCCCTGCCCGGGGTGAGGCTGCACAGCGCCAGCTCCAGGCTGGGCCAGCTTGGCCCGCACTGGCAACACAGGCTTGACCTTGGCCACAGCTCAGCAGTAGAAAGGTTCTTGGACAGGGTGCCAGGACACACGCTGGGGCTGCTGTCACAGGACAATCTTAAAGGAGCTGAACAAGAGAAAAGCGGTGGGTTTTCTGCTGGAAGAGGAGGGCAGGGACTAAACCCGAACTTGCCCCCTTCTCCCTTTAGACCCTTCTTTGGAACGGGCTATGTTCCGTGTGTCAGCCCCCTCTGCAAGAACTCCCCGAGACATCCAGAGGGAGCTTTCTGGACCCACACACTGGGTCAGAGCTTCTAAACCTTTATTACTAATGAGTACAAACACAGAGCAATGACAATGGCAGTGGGAAGGGGAGAGGTCTTGACAAGGAGGGCTGCCCCTGCCCGGGGCGAGACTGCCAGCTTAGCCGGCCCTGTGTGTGGGGACTGGGGCTTTCTCTCACCCTGGCACCACCTCCTGTAGCCATGCCCTAGGCCCAGAGGCAGCAGGTCGGAACCTGCAGGTACCCAGAATGAAGGGGGACCACTGTCATACCTGGCAAAGTCTGGAGAACGGGAGATGACGTGCTGGAACTCAGAGAGGTTGATGGTTCCATCCCTGTCAATGTCAGACTCCTCCAGGATCTGGGAAAGGGAGAGTTTCAGGCCAGAGCCCCAACTGCTCCCTCCCGCTCCCAGGCCTGCTCAGCTGCTCACGTTGTCGATGAGCTGCTTCATCTCAGACGCACTAAGCCGTGTGTCCTCGCCCTCTCCCGTGAGGCAGTTCACCAGCCGGCTCAGGTCTTCTCTGTTCAAGGTTCCGTCATCATCAAAGTCTAGAGAGCAGACACAGGAAGCCAAAAGACACGGTTGGGAGGGGCTCTGAGGTTCCCCAAACGGCGCCCATTTCCCAAGCAGGGCCACCACAAAGCCCACGTGGGAAGGGGTGGTGTCCTGCCGGGCTGCTCCTGGTTCTCACCAAAGATGCGGAAGGCATAATGGGACTTGATGTCTGGCGTGGCTGTGTCACTGAACACACTGAGGAGATCCAGGAAGTCCTCAAAGCTAAGGCTGTCTTTGGCTGGGGATGTGGAGAAGACCCTGCAGATTCGCTCCTTGAAGGGGTTGGCCTAGGAGAACAAACGCCACAGGACGTGGCCCAGGTCACACGCTCATTAAAGCCTACCAGAAACTTGAGAGAGCAGGTCACAGGACCAGCACCAGCGAGCTCAGCCTCGTGGGGGTGAACAGTCAGTGCTTTGGGGCCAACATGGAGGGCAGTGGGGGCACAGGAAAGCAAACTGACCCAGCTGGGGAAGGGACTGAGATGGCTTCCTGGGAGTCAAGTGTTTAACCCAAAGGCAGGTCACATACAACGTAAGTGTGGGCAGAGAGGGAAGAAGAAGTCATCCTAAACAAAGGGAACGAGATGGGCTGGTTATTTTAAAACACAAATATTTACTTGAACAGCTATTGTGTTACAGGCACCGGGCCAGGCCCTTTGCACAGAAATTTTGCAGCAGCCTTACGGAGTGGCAATCAGCCTCTAGAACACGGTTCCTCAAACTCTAATGAGGTACCTCAACTCCTCTTAAGGGACAAAACTTCTTTGAACTTCCAAGATTATGTTCTAGAATCCCCATTTGAAAAGCACCATTCTAGATAATTCTGCCAGGTGATTTTGGTAAAGTCCTTGCCCCTAGAAAATCAGAACTAAGCAGAAAAATGACCAGAGTGGGGACCAGTGACCCCATGATCCCAAAGCTAGTGGCAGATGGAGTTAGGGGGTCTAGCAGGGAGGGAGTGGTGGGAGAGGTGTCAAAGGAGGGGAGCGCTTGCACCTTGAGCTCTGGAAGGCTGAGAATCTGCTCGAAGGGCACTTGTGCCCGAAGTGACGACTCCACGCTCCGCTGCTCCTGGGGAAGCAGCTCACAAAACCGCCTGTGGGCTCTGGTAGAGAGAGGGGAACTGTCGGTGTTCTCAGCGATCGGTCTCCCTGTGTGTTCATTCCCACTCCTTGCCTGCTGCTCATTGTCAACCAGGTGAGGAGCTAAAACCACGTACACAGAACTTCCGAGTCATCAGGCAACGGTAAGCAAAAGGACATGTCACAAGGCAGTACAGCCTAGGAGTCTATTCTTGCAATGAGTATTTACTGAGCATTTACTATGTGCTTGGCACTGATTCTAGAGATCCCCAAGGGATGAAGAAGTTGGGAAAGGAGCCAGAAGTTGGCCCTAAAGAATTGGCCAGGCACGGTGGCTCACACCTGTAATCCCAGCACTTTGGGAGGCCAAGGCGGGCGGAGCTTTGGAGGTCAGGCGTCTGAGACCAGTCTGAGCAACATGGTGAACCCCTTCTCTACTAAAAATACAAAAATTAGCCGGGCATGGTGGCGGGTGCCTATAATCCCAGCTACTCAGGAGGCTGAGGCAGGAGAATCACTTGAACCCGGAGGCAGGAGAATCACTTGAACCCGGAGGCAGAGCCTGCAGTGAGCCAAGATCGTGCCCCAGCACTCCAGCCTGGGCGACAGAGCGAGACGCTGTCTCAAAAAAAAAAAAACGGAGAAAAGAGCAAAACCAAAAATCTCATTCTCACCTTCACTCCAGGGATCTCTTACCCTCAAAGCCTCCTTTTTAGCAACCACACTGAACTGTCCTCCTCGGCCTCCACCTCCTTCCCATGAGCTTATCTTTGCCACAGGAACCTGGCCTGCATAAATCCGGCAAAAGGGCTTCCAGCCCAAGTTCAAATCTACTTACTCAGAGTGTTGTCTTAAGCAGTTACCAAACCTTTCTGAACCTGTTTCATTGTCCAGTACCTCTCTCCTAAAGATTAAATTAGGTAACGCAGGCAACCATTTAGCACAGTCCCTGGCACATGGTGAGTGCTCAGAAAGCGATAACGGTTACTGTATTATTCAGGTAAAGTTGGGAGAAGGAGCCGGGCTCCCCAAGGCTTCTGTGGTTTAGCCACTGGGCAAGGTCGGCCCCTGCCGGACTGGGGCAGGAAGTTCGGCAGTGCTGAAGCTAGTGGAGCCCAGGGTCAAAGAGCGCCTAACTTTTCCTGGAGGCTGTAAGGTGGCTCCGCGGTGCCACGCTGGGGCCTCAGGCGAGGGCGGGGAGGGCGTGCCGGGAGGAGGGCGCAGCCCGGGCTAGGTCTCCCGGCCTCCAGCTCCCGCTCCTCTGCAGACCTCAGGCCAGCCCCCGCCCCTCCCTCGGGACAGCGCCCCCGAAGCTGTCTCTAGAGGATCCCGGGGTCGGAGGCAGGGTTCAAGGCAGCACTTACAGGAGGATCTCCTGCTTCGTCAGGAACGTCAAGTCCTGGAAGGCAAAGCCAGAGCGGGGATTAGCGGACCGCTGGGAGGCCGCGGCCGCCCCGCAGCCAGCTCCCGGACCCTGCTCCCGAGAAGAGGCCCGCACGCGAGCTCCCCAGGGCCAGGCGTCCCGCGCACCTGGTACTCGGCCAGCAGCTCCTTGGACAGGCGACTGCCCGAGCCCCCCATCGCCCCGCCGCGCGCACAGCTCCGCCAACTCGCCTCGAGACGCAGACAACTTTCTCACTTCCGCCCTTGGGCCGCGTCACTGCCCGGTCCCCGCGGCAACCGCTCCTGGGGCCACCACCCCCGGGCCCGCCCCCTCCTAAAAGCTGCCAGGCGTTCCCAGCCGGGTTTGGCAGGCGAGCTGCCGGCTCCAAGCGGTCCTAGGCGAGCTGGAGGCGGGGCCCGGGGAGGGGCCCGACGCTCCGGGGCGGAGCCCGGGACTCACGGCCCCGCCTCCGGGGTGGGAGGGGGGGGCGGGCCACGCCGCGCGCGTGCGTGCTGGCTGCGTATGCGTCACGGGCGTCATGACCTCGCTGTGGCCCCGGCAGCGGCTGCGGGGAAAGTCGCGAGGTGCATCCGCTTCGGCTGCAGTAGGTGGTGGCGGCGGCAGCCCTGGGTGGGGTCCCATAGGGGCATCTGAGAAGTCACTGGAGCTAGCGTTTCCGGGAAACCTGGAGACTCGCTGAGTGGCGGGGGTCGTCGGCTGCCCCTCTGCCCAGCAAGGGCTTTTCTAGATGTTATCATCAGGCAATCGCTGCACCTGTCGCAGCCCCCAAGCCACCTCTTCCAGAAGTAACCATAACCTTGCTTCCTTCTTAGGCTATTTACTGAGGACCCACTGGATGTCAAGCATTGTGCATAGTTTTCTTCGATTGTTGCAACATCCCTTGCGAGGTAGGTTCCCATTTTACAAAGATGGAAATACGTAAGTCCAAAGGGTGTTAGTGATTTTTCCGGGCGCCGGCATTTAGAAGGTAATCGGTCCAGTCCAAGGCACTTTTAAAGGCTCTCCACTGCTGTTCTCATCATTCCAGCTGACCTGCCGTCCTTTTGACTCCATCTCACCCCTAGACTGCTGACCCTTTGCTCTTGTCCCCTCTTAACCTCTAGGATAATGTTTGGCACATAGTAGGCTCTCAGTAAATATTATCGAATGCATAATAAATGAATGAACGTATACTATTGCAAAAGGTAAGGATTCCAAACTGCTGGGAGGAGGAAGTGGAGGTTGTGTTGGTCAGGCTGGGATTAATTCTTGATCCTTCCAATCCATTATACTTGCTGATCTTTGTAAAGTCTAAATCTGAGTATGTTAGTCTCAGTTTATAACCATTAAATGGTTAAAAACCCAAATCCTGGCCCTCTGTAACTGGACTTCCTCCTATTGGCTCTCTGTCTTTCAGCCACTTTGGGCCCTCAGTCCCTCTTCCATCTCATCCTCAGGGAAGCCTTTCCTGACTCCCTAGACTGCCTAGGAATCTACTTTACACTGGAAGAATACCCAGTGCTCTCCTTGGCAGCATGTGTTTGATAAGACACACTGTATTAACAGGTACATTCCATCATTGTAGAAATATTCAAGGCCAGGCGCGGTGGCTCATGCCTGTAATCTCAGCACTTTGGGAGGCTGAAGCAGGCGGATCATTTGAGGCCAGGAGTTCAAGACCAGCATGGCCAACATGGCAAAACCCCATCTCTACTAAAAATACAAAAATTAGCCAGACATGGTTAAACCTGGGAGCTGGAGGTTGCAGTGAGCGGAGATTGTGCCACTGCAGTCCAGCCTGGGCAACAGAGTGAGACTCTGTCTCAAAAAATAAAAATAAAAAAAAATAACTAGGGTATAGGCCCATCCCAACCTGATCATTTTTCTCTTTTTTTTTGAGACAGAGTCTCGCTGTGTCGCCTAGGCTGGAGTGCAGTGGCATGATCTTGGCTCACTGCAAGCTCCGCCTCCTGGGTTCACGCCATTCTTCTACCTTAGCCTCCCCAGCAGCTGGGACTACAGGCACCCGCCACCACACCCGGCTAATTTTTTTGTATTTTTGGTAGAGACGGGGTTTCACCCTGTTAGCCAGGATGGTCTGGATCTCCTGACCTCGTGATTCGCCCACCTCGGCCTCTCAAAGTGCTGGGATTACAGGCGTGACCCACCGTGCCCGGCCGATCATTTTTCTCTTAATAGCAGGCTCTTTCTGTCCGAGAAAGAGTTAGTCTTCTGTTAGTAAAAGCTTAGGCAAAAAGCAAGAAGCTGTCATTATGTCTCCTGTACTAAATAGACCTTGTTTGCCTCTTACAAGCCAAGGCGAATACCTGGACTGCATGGTAATAAGTATCTGTCTTCTTTTTTTTTGAGACAGAGTTTCACTCCTGTTGCCCAGGCTGGAGTGCAATGGCATGATCTCAGCTCACCGCAACCTCCGCCTCCTGAGTTCAAGCAGTTCTCCTGCCTCAGCCTCCTGAATAGCTCGGATTACAGGCATGTGCCACCACACCCAGCTAGTTTTGTATTTTTAGTAGAGACGGGGTTTCTCCATGTTGGTCAGGCTTGTCTCGAACTCCCAACCTCAGGTGATCGCCTGTCTTGGCCTCCCAAAGTGCTAGGATTACAGGCGTGCGCCACTGCACCCAGCCATAAGTATCTCTTTATAGTGAAGACATGAGAGTCAGCTTTGTGCCTGGTGACCAGCTGTGATCTAGATCTCTCAGTCACTTCACTTGGCTCTGAACCCTTCATGGAACAACCTTTGGTTTTCATTTTGCTTCCTGATTCATTTTGTACACTGACCAGCCAGCAAGAACCTTTTGTGCCATTTGGCATATTTCTCATTGTAAATTATTTTTATTTGTGAGATGGAGTCTCACTCTGTCACCAGGCTGGAGTACAGTGGTATGATCTTGGCTTACTGCAACCTCTGCCTCCCAGGTTCACCTGATTCTCATGCCTCAGCCTCCTGAGTAGCTGGGATTACAGGAGTGCACCACCACGCCCAGCTAATTTTTGTATTTTTTTTTAGTAGAGACGGGGTTTCACCATGTCGGCCAGGATGGTCTCGATCTCCTGATCTCTTGATCCGCCTCCCTCAGCCTCCCAAAGTGCTGAGCCACCACGCCCGGCCTCTCATGGTAGATTATTAAATGGGCAGTCTGAATCATTTGGTAGTCCTCGGTGAATCTGGTTAGCATATTGTCCCTCCTGTACCTGATCAACTCTTGGTACAGTGATAAAACCGAGCTGCTGATATACTTTTATTTTTTATTTTATTTATTTTTTTGAGACAGAGTCTCACTCTGTCACCAGGCTGGAGTGCAGTGGTGCGATCTTAGCTCACTGCAACCTCTGCCTCCCAGATTCAAGCGATTCTCCTGCCTTAGCCTCCCGAGTAGCTGAGATTACAGACGCCCACTACCACACCTGGCTAATTTTTTTGTATTTTTAGTAGAGACAGGGTTTCACCATATTGGCCAGGCTGGTCTCGAACTCCTGACCTCGTGATCCACCCACCTTGGCCCCCCAGAGTGCTGGGATTACAGGCGTGAGCCACCGTGCCCGGACTTTATTGTAATTTTCTTTTTTTCCCTTTTTTTTTTTTTTTTTGAGATGGAGTCTTGCTCTGTCACCAGGCTGGAATGCAGTGGCACCACCTCAGTTCACCACAACCTCCACCTCCCAGGTTCAAGTGATTCTCCTGCCTCAGCCTCCCAAGTAGCTGGGACTACAGGTGTGTGCCCACCACCACGCCCAGCTAATTTTTGTATTTTTAGTAGACACAGGGTTTCACCATGTTGGCCAGGATGGTCTCGGTATCTTGACCTCGTGATTCACCTGCGTCAGCCTCCCAATGTGCTGGTCCAGGGATTACAGGTGTGAGCCACCGCACCCAGCCCCTCATTGTGATTTTGATTTGCCTTTTCTTATTGATTAATGACGTTAAACATCCCAAATGTGCTTGTTGGCCATCTTTATATCTTATTTGAAAAAATGTCTAAGATTATCTCTTTTTTTTCTCCTTTTTTTGGTTTTGTATTATTTTTATTATCTCATTTTAAATTTTTTCGCCTGTCAGATAAGATTCTCTTTTATTAGAATAAGATACTACATTAGTCAGGCCTGGTGCAAGTGCCTGTGGTCCCAGCTACTTGGGAGGCTGAGGTGGATGGATTGCTTGAGTCTGGGAGGCAGACATTGCAGTAAGGTGAGAATAAGATACTACATTTGATCATCAAAATTATGCTTAGCTTCACTTTTTTGTTGTTGTTGTCTTTTACCTTGCAGCTCCAGCTCAAAGGATTAGCTTCACTTTTAAACATTTTTGGCCAGGTGCGGTGGCTCACGCCTGTAATCCCAGCACTTTGGGAGGCCAACGCAGGTGGATCACCTGAGGTCAGGAGTTCGAGACCAGCCTGGCCAACATGGTGAAACCTGGTCTTTCCTAAAAATACAAACATTAGCCGGGCGTGGTGACACACACCTGTAGTCCCAGCTACTCAGGAGGCTGAGGCATGAAAATCACTTGAACCTGGGTGGTGGAGGTTGCAGTGAGCCAAGATCGTGCCACTGCACTGCAGCCTGGCTGACAGAGTGAGATTCTGTCTTTAAAAAAAAAATTGACCATCTGAACCATTTCTAAGTGTATAGTCGTGTTAAGCACATTCACGATGTTGTGCGGCAAATCTCCAGGACGTTTTCATCTTGCAAACTAAGCCTCAATACTCATTAAACTTAGCTTGACTTTTGATATGTAATTTTTTATATGTTTTGTTTCCTTTCTGTTTTATTAACATGAAGTTTCTGGAGCAGCAGAGCTGAAGGAACCCAAACTTGGACTGAAGTGACTCTACTAAGGTAATGCCTCCTTTTGACATCCTATCTGGGCCAGTGGCAGACCCCTCTCCCTGACAGTGCTGGGTCCAGGGCTCCAGGCAGCCAGGGGAAGATGAAGACAGGCACTAATTTCCCCCTTGAAAGGTTGGCCCTGGACACTTACCCACACATCAGTGCCATCCTCACCCAAATGTTTCTATGCATGACCAATTGGAATCACTATGGAACATGGAAAAGCTTTTCCCACAAAAGAAGTGGTCATCTTTGAAACCCTGAGCACTCTCATGCACTGGAACTCAGGTATGATTTTCTGGAGGGCAGTTTGATGGTGTGTATAAAAAATCTGAGCCATGGGAATTTGAGACCACCTGAACAGCATAGCAAGGCTCTGTCTCTACCAAAAACAAAACAAAACAAAATAAAACCAAAACCTGAGCCATGGACCTACTCTGACCCAGTGGTATACCAGGATTTTATTTTAAAGGAAAATAAAAACATGACATGTTCAATGATGAGTGTGTGAGTGTATAGGATGTTCATTGCCACATTGTGTATAATAGAATGAAACTAGCTACAACCTATATAAACAGTTGAAGATTGGTTAAAAAGTCAAGATCCATCTATGTATGAAAATGAAGCTAAACATAAATTGTGATTTTTCCTTAGGCATTATAACAAAGGGTTATATTTTATCTTTATTGTTTCTCCATTAAAAAAATTTACTCGATATATATAATTTTTAGAAAGAAAAAATAGTTGATCTATATGAGACATAAAATGTGTGTGTGTGTGTGTGTGTGTGTGTGTGTGTGTATTAGTCTGTTCTCACACTGCTGTGAAGAAATACCCAAGACTGGGTAATTTATAAAGGAAAGAGGTTTTATTGACTCACAGTTCTGCAAGGGTGGACAGGCCTCAGGAAACTTACAATCATGACAGAAGGGGAAGCAAACACATCCTTCTTCACATGGCAGCAGCAGGGAGATGTGCAGAGCAAAGAGGGAGGTAAAGCCTCTTATAAAACCATCAGATCTCAGGAGAACTCACTATCACGAGAACAGCATGGAGGTGACCGCCCCCATGATTCATTTACTTTCCACCGGGCCCCTCCCACAACAAGTGGGGATTATAGGAACCACAAGATGAAATTTGGGTGGAGACATAGCCAAACCATATCTATCTATCTATCTATTTTTTTGAGACAGAGTTTCACTCTTATTGTCCAGGCTGGACTGCAATGGTGCGATCTCGGCAGTGCCTGGTGGCACATGCCTGTAGTTCCAGATACTTGGGATGCTGAGGTGAAAGAATCCCTTGAGCCTGGGAGGTCAAGGCTTCAGGGAGACATGTATGCACCACTGCACTCCTGCCTGGGTGACAGAGTGAGAACCTGTTTCAAAATAAAATAGGCCGTGGCTGGGCGCAGTGGCTCACACCTGTAATCCCAGCACTTTGGGAAGCCGAGGTGGGTGGATCACCTGAGGTCAGGAGTTCAAGACCAGCCAGACCAACATGGTGAAACCCTGTCTCTACCAAAAATACAAAATTAGCTGGCTGTGGTGGCACATTCCTATAATCCCAGCTACTTGGGAGGCTGAGGCCAGAGAATCGCTTGAACCTGGGAGGTAGAGGTTGCAGTGAGCCAAGATAGCGCCATTGCACTCCAGCCTGGGTGACAGAGTGATAAATAAATAAATAGGCCAGGTGCAGTGGCTCAGGCCTGTAATCCCAGCACTTTGGGAAGCCGAGAGGGGAGGGTCACCGGAGGTCAGGAGTTCAAGACCGGCCTGGCCAATGTGGTGAAACCCTGCCTCTACTAAAAATACAAAAATTAGCCGGGCCTGGTGGCGGGTGCCTGTAATTCCAGCTGCTTGGGAGGCTGAGGCATGAGAATCACTTGAACCCAGGAGGTGGAGGTTGCAGTGAGCCAAGATCGCGCCACTGCCCTCTAGCCTGGGCAACAGAGTGAGACTCTGTCTCAAAAAAATAAAAATAAATAAATAAGCTGTGCATGTTGGTTCATGCCTGTAATCCCAGCACTTTGGGAGGCCAAGGCAAAGGGATCACCCGATGTCAGGAGTTCAAGACCAGCCTGGCCAACATGGTGAAACACCATCTCTACTAAAAATACAAAAATTACCCGGGCATGGTGGTGCCTGCCTGTAACCCCAGCTGCCCAGGAGGCTGAGGCGGGAGAACCGCTTGAACCCAGGAGGCGGAGGTTACAGTGAACCAAGATCACTGCCACTGCACTCCAGCCTGGGTGACAGAGTGAGACTCCATCTCAAAAAAAAAAATAAATAAATAAATACAATGACAATCTCTGGAGGTGGGTTACCATCATGTGTTTTCATCTTTTATGACTATTTCAGGTCAGCTCTATGGCTCTTCCACATGATTCAAACGAAACTTCCTATTTGCTGCCTCCCAACAATGAGGACTGGGGCAGGCAAACCATTCCTGACTTTGTTTATGGGCAGAAGGATCTCATGGCAGAAGGGATTCAGTGGCCAAGGAATGCACCTGGCATCCCAGATGCTCTGCCACAATCTCCCTTTGATGCTGCACTCTGCTCTGCCTGGAAGCAGCGGGTGGAGCTGGGGCTGTTTCGCTACCGTCTACGGGAGCTACAGACCCAAATCCTCCCTGGTGCTGTGGGTTTCGTGGCTCAGCTGAATGTGGAGCGTGGTGTGCAGAGGAGGCCCCCGCAGACCATCAAGAGTGTGAGGCAGGCATTTGACCCTGTACAGTTCAACTTCAACAAGATCCGGCCCGGAGAAGTCCTCTTCCGTTTGCACCGGGAGCCTGATCTCCCTGGGACTCTGCTGCAAGAAGACATCCTGGTGGTGATCAACGTCAGCCCCCTGGAGTGGGGCCACGTGCTGCTGGTGCCTGAGCCTGCCCGCCAGCTCCCCCAGCGCCTGCTGCCGGGTGCACTGAGGGCAGGGATTGAGGCTGTGCTGCTGAGCTTACACCCGGGCTTCCGTGTCGGCTTCAACAGCCTGGGAGGCTTGGCCTCGGTGAACCACCTCCACCTGCATGGCTATTACCTGGCCCACAGACTGCCCGTGGAGCAGGCGCCAAGCGAGCCCCTGGACCCTGGAGGCCATTTGCATCTGCTCCAGGACCTCCCAGCTCCTGGCTTCCTCTTTTACACTCGTGGGCCAGGGCCTGACTTGGAGTCCTTGATAAGCAGGGTATGTCGGGCCACTGATTATCTGACTGACCATGAGATTGCTCATAACTTGTTTGTCACCCGGGGAGCTCCGCCGGGAAAGACATCACCTTCCTCAGCCCTCACAGGGGTCCGAGTAATTCTGTGGGCCCGGAAGTCCAGCTTTGGGATAAAGGACGGTGAAGCTTTCAATGTTGCCCTCTGTGAGCTGGCTGGGCACCTCCCTGTCAAAACATCCCAGGACTTCAGCAGCCTGACAGAGGCAGCTGCTGTGGCCCTCATTCAGGACTGTCGGCTGCCCCCATCCCAGGCAGAAGACGTACAGGCAGCACTGGTGGCCCTGATGTCCCAGGAAGAGCAATAATACTTCTGGATGTATTTATGTTCTTTTTTTCTTTTCTTTTGAGATAGGGTCTCACTCTGTCCCCAGGCTAGAGTGTAGTGGTATGATCCTGGCTCACTGTAGCCTCCACCTCTGGGGCTGAAGTGATCCTCCCACCTCAGCCTCTTGAGTAGCTGAGACTATAGGCGTGCACCACCACACACCTGGCTTTTTTTTTTTTTTTTTTTTTTTTTAACGATTAGGTGATTTTGTATTTTTTTATATAGACAGCGTTTCACCATGTTGCCCAGGCTGGTCTTGAACTCTTGGGCTGAAGCAGTCCTCCCACCTCGGCCTCCCAAAGTACTGAGATGACAGGAGTGAGCCCCTGGATTCTTTTCTGTTTCTTTTTTTTTTTTTTTTTTTTTTTTTTTTTTTGAGATAGTCTCGCTCTGTCACCTAGGTTGGGGTGCACTGGTACAATCTCGGCTCACTGCAACCTCCACCTCTAGGGTTCGAGTGATCCTCCTGGCTCAGCCTCCCGAGTAGCTGGGACTATACAGGCTCCTGCCACCAAACCCGGCTAATTTTTTTGTATTTTTAAAAGAGAAGGGGTTTCACCACATTGGCTAGGCTGGTCTTGAACTCCTGACTTTAGGTGATCCGCCCGCCTCGGCCTCCCAAAGTGCTGGGATTACAGGCGTGAGCCACCACACCCAGCCAGGATGTATTCATTTTCTACCTGATGAGTCCCTTTCCAGAGCACTGTCCATCATAGTCCTTTGGACATTTATTTTCATGGCTGCCTTCTCACCTGTCTCAGCCTAAGAAGAAGGATGAAGAAAGCTGATAATGATCTCTTAAAGGGGAGAAAGATAATGGTCTCTTTAAAGGGGAGCTGATAGTGGTCTCTTTAAAGGGGAGAAAATCTGGAATAATTCTACTGAGTAAGACATCATGAATGTATCTGCTACCTCTCCCCGTTCTTGTTCAAGCCCCAGGGGTGTTAAAAAGGAGTGTGTGTGACAGTTACACACTCCTGACTTTACATTTAGATTTTGTCTTCCTTTGATATCAAATGTTAGCACGGTAATAGTGCCTGTGCCTCCAGTATTGAGCTGCCACTTCTGTTCTCAGCCTGTTTATTCCCCTTTGCTCACCACTTATTTTTATTGCTTTGTCCCTTCTTTCCATTTAGCCCTGCTCCACCCAAATGCCCCACTCCTTCACTTTCCCTGCCACCTTGAGCTTTCCTCTAGCCCCCAACACCAAGTTGAATGCTCTTCACTGACATCATCTGATGTAAAAACACAGTGTTGTCACAACTTTCCGGGTGCACGTCTTTTTTTGTTTTGTTTTTTTGTAAGGCTGGGGTGCAGTGGTGCAATCACAGCTCACTGCAGACCCAAACTCTTGGTCTCAAGCCACCCTCCCACCTCAGCCCCCTGAGTAGCTGGGACGATAGGTGTGCACCATCACACCTGGCTAATTTTTAAATTTTTTGTAGAGATAGGGTCTTGCTATGTTGCCCGGGTTGCTGTCAAACTCCTGGCCTTAAGAAATCCTCCCACCTCGGCCTCCCAGAGTGCTAAGATGCCACCACACCTTGGTGCAGGTTTTTTTTTTTTTTTTTTTTTTTTTTTTTTGACACAGGGTCACTGTCACCCAGGCTGGAGTGCAGTGGTATGAAGACAGCTAACTGCAAGCTTCAACCTCCTGGGCTCAAACAATACTCCCATCTCAGCCTCCCTAGTAGCTGGGACCACAGGCATGCGCCACCACACCCGGCTATTTTTTTGGAGAGATAGCATCTTGCCAAGTTGCCCAGGCTGGTCTCGAACTCCTGGCCTCAAGATCCTCCCACCTCAGCCTCCCAAAGTGCTGAGATTATAGGCATGAGCCACTGCACCTGGCCTGAGTTTTTTTTTTTTTTTCTTGAATCAGAGTTTCACTCTGTTGCCCAGGCTGGAGTGCAGTGGTGTGATCTCGGCTCACTGCGTCTCTGCCTCCTGGGTTCAAGCAATTCAGCCTGAGTCTTCTTAATACCCCCATTCAAAACGGGATGGAGACTGACAGTTTGTACTTTGTTCAAGGTCAGGCAGCTGGAGTCGGGACTGCAGCACAGGCAGGTACCAGAAGATGAGCTGGGACAATGTGTGCTTGTGACCGCCTCTCCAGTCAGTGGTTCCCATGGTGGGTAGCACTGTCCTTAACAGTTTGCCCTCCCTGAGCCTCAGCCATCCCTCTTGGGGTCTTTCCCAAGCACTTTAGAAGCTCCTCTTGATGTAGACACAAAATCCAAAGCTAAGTCGTTGTTCCTCCGTCTGCATCTGAGTCAATGTGGGAAATTTTTTTTTATCTCATTGCTTTGTTCTGTCCTGTTTCTCCAGACATTTCACACTGGTTCCAGAGGAACTAGTCAGTAGACACTATTCTAAGAGAGTATGTGGGTGTGAAATCTCATTTTCCTTTTAGCTCCCTTGAATGTTATACAGCAAAAGTAAAAGAAGTCTTGGGTTGGCTGGGCACGTTGGCTCACACCTTTAATCCTAGCACTTTGGGAAGCCGAGGCAGGCAAATCACTTGTCAGGAGTTCGAGACCAGCCTGGCCAACATGGTGAAACCCCATCTCTACTAAAAATACAAAAATTAGGCGTTGTGGCGGCCACCTGTAATCCCATCTACTTGGGAGGCTGAGGCAGGAGAATCACTTGAACCCAGGAGGCGGAGGTTGCAGTGAGCTGAGATTGCACGACTGTACTCCAGCCTGGGCGATAGTGCGAGACTCAGTCTCAAAATAAATAAATACATAAAGTCTTGGGTCCAGCTCTCAACAGAGATTATCACCGCCACCACTCCTTCATCAAACATCCTGAAGGAATGAGAGTCCCTGTTCACAGCGTAAGGGTGAAAGGGGGCTCACACAGGTGGGTTCTGGCTGCTGTCTGAGTGGGCTCACCCAGGAGGGGTTTTGATTTCTCTGCCTCCCAAACTGTGGGTCCTAGCCCTGGCTTAGGCCTTCAGGTCGTTGGCTCCCTATACCTAGGCCTGTATAAAGCCTTAGTTTCCAGTTTTCATTAGAGGTTTTACATCCCAAATGATGTTACAAAGTCTCCCTGTGATAAAGCAGAATATGTGTCCATAGCCCATTTTATAAGAAAAACAGTTTAGGCCAGGTGCGGTGGCTCACGCCTGTAATCCCAGCACTTTGGGAGGCTGAAGCAGGCAGATCACAAGGTCAGGAGTTCAAGACCAGCCTGGCCAACATGGTGAAACCCCGTCTCTACTAAAAACACAAAAATTAGCTGGGTGTGGGTGCACATCTATAGTCCCAGCTACTCAGGAGGCTGAGGCAGGAGAATCGCTTGGACCTGGGAGGCGGAGGTGGCAGTGAGCCGAGATCGCGCCACTGCACTCCAGCCTGGGCGGCAGAGAGAGACTTTGTCTCAAAAAAAAAAAAAAAGAAAAAAACAGTTTACCATTCTATCAGAAAATGTTGACCACCCTCATATTTTTGGTAAACTGCAGTAATTTTTCCTTAATACTTTTTGCAAGCTTTTGCATGCATAAGCTCCAGTATCACACTTAATTTTGCTTGCTTGCTCTCTGAAGGGAGTTCGGATGACCATTACAGCAAAGTGGATTTTGCGTTCAAAGTGATAAGCCAAATATCAGGATTTTCCCAGTTTCTCCGTAGGACTGATGTTTAGAGGAAAGCCTTCCCTGACTCAAATATGTTTCTCCATATAAAAAGGGGAAAGTAAAATGGGTTTTCTTTCTGGTGGTATTTCTCAGCTATTTATATGCTTTGTGAATCTTCAAGAAGAGCATTTGGACTGCAGCTTTTTCTACTGAGTAGGAAACACGTAGGGGCCCTTTGTACTCCGAGCCCTGGGCTTTGAGTATGGTAGGAAGTGCTGACCCAGCCCAGGACCTCCCCACGTTTTTGCTTAACTCTTCATGCAGAGGCCGGGCACGGTGGCACACTCCTGTAATCCCAGCACTTTGGGAGGCCGAGGCGGGCAGATCACCGGAGGTCAGGAATTCAAGACCAGCCTAACCAACATGGTGAAACCCAGTCTCTACAAAAATACAAAAATTAACCGGGCATGGTGGCATGCGCCTGTAATCCTAGCTACTCAGGAGGCTGAGGCGGAAGAATCGCTTCAACCCAGGAGGCAGAGGTTGCAGTGAGCCAAGATCGTGCCATTGCACTCCAGCCTGGGTGACAGAGCGAGACTCCATCTCAAAAAAAAAATACAAAACAAAAAACGATAATCAGAACTCTTCATGCAGGGCCTCATGTACTAAGAGGGTTTAGACTTGATCTAATGGGAAACCTTGAAGAATACTTAATGTGGGGTAACAGCTTTGCATTTGAGTAACAGCTTTGCATTTGAGGAAGAATACTTACGCTGTAATGGGGAGGATGGATGGAGTGAAGAATAGAATCAGGGAATCCAGTTAACAGACTGCTGAGGCCAGGTGTAGTGGCTCACGCCTGTAATCCCAGCAGCACTTTGGGAGACCCAAGCAGGTGGATCACCTGAGGTCAAGAGTTTGAGACCAGCCTGACCAACATGGTGAAACCCCATCTCTCTGAAAATACAAAAATTAGCCCCGTGTGGTGGCAGATGCCTGTAATCCCAGCTACTCAGGAGGCTGACGCAGGAGAATCACTTGAACCCGGGAGGCAGAGGGTGCAGTGACCCGAGATTGAGCCATTGCACTCCAGCCTGGGCAACAGAGTGAGACTCTGTCTCAAAAAAAAAAAAAAAAAAAAAAAAAAAAAAAAAAAAAAAAAAATTGCTGAATTGTGGCAATTCAGGCAAGAAATGGTGGTCGAGGTCCTAGAATAGTCCCTAGAACACTAAATTGTTTGTTGATGCAATGAGTGTCCTGGAAGTCAAGGGACTGCAGAACATTTCCAGGAGGACCATTTCTTTCTTTCCTTTTTTTTTTTTCTTTTGAGACGGAGTCTCACTGTGTCATCCAGGCTGGAGTGCAGTGGCACGATCTTGGCTCACTGCAACCTCTGCGTCCTGGATTCAAGCAATTCTCCTGCCTAGGCCTCCTGAATAGCTGAGACTACAGGCGTGCGCCACCATGCCCAGCTAATTTTTGTATTTTTAGTAGAGACAGGGTTTCACCATATTGGCCAGGCTGGTCTCGAACTCCTGACCTCGTGATCCACCTGCCTCAGCCTCCCAAAGTGCTGGGATTACAGCCATGAGTCACCACACTGGCCTTTTTTTTCTTTTCTTTTCTTTTTTCTTTTTTTTTTTTTTTTAAGAGAGAGAGTCTCGCTGTATTGCCCAGCCTGGTCTCAAACTCCTGGCCTCCAGTAATCCTCCTGCCTCAGCTTCCCAAGGTGCTGGGATTAGCGATGTAGGCTGCCACTCCTAGCCAGGAGGAGAGTTTCATATGAGAGTATCATATGCTGAGGAAAGATCAAGAAGTCTGTGAATCGGGCAGCCCATTTCTCCATCAGCCAGGAAGGACATTGGTGTTGAGGTTGACATACCTATCAAGGACAATAACTACCATGGCTTCCAGTGTTTTGATGAAACCTCAGATGCATGACCTCTGGTTTCACATTGCTGTATCCCTGTATAGAGGGTTGTAGCACTCTATACATTTGCTGTGGCTGAACCGGGAAAGAAGGCATATGCAGATTTCTAGAGAAATTATAATTCCATCAAAGATTTTTTTGTTTGCTTTTTTTTTTTGAGACAGAGACTCCCTCTGTCGCCCAGGCTGGAGTGCAGTGGCGCGATCTCCGTTCACTGCAAGCTCCGGATTCACACCATTCTCCTGCCTCAGCCTTCCAAGTAGCTGGGACTACAGGCGCCCGCCACCATGCCCAGCTAATTTTTATTTTTTTATTTTTTTATTTTTAGTAGAGAGGGGGTTTCACCGTGTTAGCCAGGATGGTCTTGATCTCGTGACCTGGTGATCCGCCCACCTTGGCCTCCCAAAGTGCTGGGATTACAGGCGTGAGCCATCACACCCGGCCAGATATTTGTTTTTTTAAATACGAGTTCTCACTCTGTCACCCAAGCTGAAGTGCAGTGGCATAATCATAGCTCACGGCATCCTCTTAACTCCCATGCTCAAGAGATCCTCACACCTCAGTCTTCCTAGTAGCTGGGACTACAGGGCCTGCCACCTAGCCTTGCTGATTCTATGAAAGATTTTGAGGAGATGAGGAAGGCTGGTATCTTTCAAAGTGCAAAGTGATTTTGGTATAAACAGTTTCTTTGGGTTGCATTACATAGAAGTTTATCACTAACCTATGTTCCTGAACTATGAAACATGAATATGTGGGCAAAGAAATAGCTTATCTTTATAGACAATTAACAACAACAAAAACAGTCTATGAATTAGAGAATGTCCATGCCTTTTTTAGGCCGAGTTCAGTGGTTCATGCCTGTAATCCCACCACTTTGGGAAGCCAAGGTGGGCAGGTCACTTGAGGTCAGGAGTTCAAGATCAGCCTGGCCAACACAGCAAAACCCCATCTCTACAAAAAATACAAAAATTAGCCAGGCATGGTGGTGCGCACCTGTAGCCCCAGCTACTTGGGACGCTGAAGTGGGAGGATTGCTTGAGCCTGGGAAGCTAAGTAAAGTTGCAGTGAGCTGCGATCACACCACTGCAATCCAGCCTGGGCTACAAAGCAAGACCCTGTCTCAAAAAAAAAAAAAAAAAAAAAAAAAAAAAAAAAAAAAAAAGTCCATGTCTTTTTAAAAGGATGGAAACATTTTAAGTGTTCTCTAGATTTAGCCACACAGTATAATTTTAGGGTGACAAGTTGAGCTGAGTTGGGTGGAGGTGGTGAGCAGAAATCAAAGTGGGTGGATGTCAGGAAGAGAAGGTGACAGTGAAGGAGCACTGTGATAAGGCGGTTTGGTTATTCCTTAATGGAGCTGTCTCAGTCCACCAGAGGCAAAGCCTTGAAAGGCACGTGGCCTTACCATGGCTGTCACTCTTGAATGCATAGGCTTTGCTAGCTAAACTTAGAGTTACTAAAGAATTGAGCCCGGCGTGGTGGCACGCTCCTGTAGTCACAGCTACTGGGGAGGCTGAGGCAGGAGGATTGCTTGAGCCCAGGAGGTCCAGGCTGCAGTGAGCTATGATGGTGCATTCCACTGCACTCCAGCCTGGGCGACACAGCAAGACCCCGTCTCAAAAAAAAAAAAAAAAAAAAAAAGGGAGAATTGAGGAGAGGCAAACAGCTATTTGTCCTCATTATATGCTTGGCCAAATTCCTTGGCCCGGGGTTTAGGGAAAGATGGGAGTGCGGCGAGAACTGGCTTCGAAGCGGGAGGGCTGCAAGTCCCATGATACACCGGAAGAATCTGGCGTCGAGGCCGGCCAGCTCCAAAGGGCAAACGCTGTCTCCCCCACCCAAGGTAGCCTCGGCCCGCGCCCAAGTGGGTGTGGCTGCGGGAAAGCCCCGCCCCCAGGACGCTTCTCCAATGGGAACTGCCCTCGTGTCCATGGCAACGGCGGCGGCCACGGGCTTGCTAGAGGAAGCGCTGCCCCGGCAGCCGCAGCCACGGCCACCGGGAGCTAGGAGTGAACCCCTGCGGGGGAGCAGCTTCCCCCTCGCGATCGTGGGGACAGCCAGTCCTGTGAAACGAGGAGGCGGTTCCGGACGCCCAGAAACGCCCAGGGAGACCTGGAGCCGGGGGAAGAGGGGACATGAGCGGCCAGCTGAGTCCATCCCCAGGCGGCTAGGGGCGGACCCAGCAGCCCCTCAGCTCTCCTCGTAACCACGGGTGGGCAGTCTCCACCGTCACAGCCCAAAGGGTCTTAGCCATCGGGTGCCTGTCCCTAGTGTGTACACGTGCAGAAAATGAGTCCTGGGAGAGGGAAAGGGCCAGCGTAGGGGGCTTTTGGTCTTCAGCTGTATTTTATTTTATTTATTTATTTATTTATTTATTTAGAGACAGACTCTTGCTCTGTCGCCCAGGCTGGAGTGCAGTGGTGTGATCTCGGCTCACTGCAACCTCCACCTCCCAGGTTCAAGTGATTCTCCTCCCTCAGCCTCCCGAGTAGCTGGGATTACAGGCAACGCACCAGCACACCCAGCTAATTTTTGTATTTTTAGGAGAGACGGGATTTCACCGTGCTAGCCAGGCTGCTCTCCAACTCCAGACCTCAAGTGATCTGCCCGCCTCAGCCTCCCAACGTGCTGGGCCGATTCAGCTGTATTTTAAAGCGAAGGTCCCCCCAGCACTCACAGCCATCCTCTTTCCCAATTAGGAACAAAAGAGCCATGGTCATGGCCCATACCATCTGTGTCCAACTCCTGAAGGCACCCCTGTGCGTTGTATGATCCAGTGTGAACCTGGATGATTGGGGCTTGTCATCAGGGAATCCACATCTCACTGGTGTCTTCCACCCCCATGCACCTCCACCTACCTGGACACATCCCATTCCTCAGTGAAACAGTTTTGTCCTGAAGGGGCAGCAACTTTCCCTTATAACAGCATGAAGGTCGTTCTGGTGGATTCCTTCAGGCCTTCTAGGGCCTGAGGGAGGTCTGAGGTCTGATATACACTTCATTCCCACCCCGCAACCCCTCAGAATCTGAGAGAATGGAGCCGAGTACCTGTAGGACCATGGAATCAGAGGAAGACTATGTTGAGGAAAAGGAATCTGAGAAGTGTGTTAAAGAGGGAGTTACCAACCCCTCTAACTCTTCACAGCAGGCTCTCTTAAAAGCTGACTATAAGGCATTAAAAAATGGGGTTCCCTCACCCATTATGGCCACAAAAATTCCGAAGAAAGTCATAGCCCCAGTTGACACAGGCGACTTAGAAGCTGGGAGGAGGAAGAGAAGGCGGAAACGCAGGTAACTATTCCCTAGATCCCCTCAACTGCCCAGCTCCAGGGAGTCACCCATTGGCCTCCCTTCAACATCTGGAGGAGCTGGGATCTCAGATCTTCCCTTTAGCCTACAAAAGAGGACAGGAAATGCTGGAGTGTCATTAACCCTTTGATACAACAGAAACAAAATTCAGAACCATTTAGGCTGGCTCATTTTGGAATCCCAGCCTGTTTATGTCATCCTGGTCTGTCTTTTTTTTTTTTTTTTTGAGACAGAGTCTCGCTCTGTCGCCCAGGCTGGAGTACAGTGGCGTGATCTCGGCTCACGGCAAGCTCCGCCTCCCGGGTTCAGGCCATTCTCCTGCCTCAGCCTCCCGAGTAGCTGGGACTACAGGCACCTGCCACCACGCATGGCAAATTTTTTTTTTTTTTTTTGTATTTTTAGTAGAGACAGGGTTTCATTGTGTTAGCCAGGATGGTCTCTATCTCCTGACCTTGTGATCCACCCGCCTCGGCCTCCCAAAGTGCTGGGATTACAGGCATGAGCCACCGCGCCCAGCCCATCCTGGTCTGTCTTTTAAGTGGCTTCTAGAGAAAAGGAATTGTGTTGTGAATTTGTTGGATGTCTTTTCATCTGAGTACCTGTCCTTCCCTCCCACTCTTCCTGATTTATGCTATTCCTCCATTCCAGATCACTGGCCATCAACCTGACCAACTGCAAGTATGAGAGTGGTAAGCACCCAGCCCGTCGCTCACACTGTGGTGCATAACATGGTGCCTACAGCTGCTGTTCTTCCTCTGGAATGGACCCCCGATCAGGCTTCCAGCCCCTGGGGCCTGGCGGGCTTGCCTCTAACCTGTACTGAGCTTCCTAGGTGTCCTCTGCCTCAGACACTGGAAGCTGAGACATTGCCATTCCAGGTAGTCTCAGTGTTAGGGAGGGTATCCTCACAGTAAACAAGAAAAAAAAAAAAAAAAGTCCAAGAGCCACTACTGCCCCACCCTTCCCAGATTTTATTTATTTATTTTTGAGACAGAGTCTCGCTTTGTCATCCAGGCTGGAGTGCAGTATTGCAATCATAGCTTAATGCAGCCTTGAACTCCCGAGCTCAAGCCGTCTTCCTATCTGAGCTTCCCAGTAGCTGGGACTACAGGCCTGCACCACTATGCTCACCTAATTCTTTTTTTTTTTTTGAGACCGAGTTTTGCTCTTGTTGCCCAGGCTGGAATGCAATGGCGTGATCTCGACTCACTGCAACCTCCACCACCCAGGTTCAAGCGATTCTCCTGCCTCAGCCTCCCAAATAGCTGGGATTACAGGCATGTGCCACCACATCTGGCTAATTTTGTACTTTTAGTAGACAGAGTTTCTCCATGTTGGCCAGGCTGGTCTTGAACTCCTGACCTCAGGTGATCCACCCACCTCAGCCTCCCAAAGTGCTGGGATTACAGGCATGAGCCACCATGCCCAGCCTGCCCAGCTAATTCTTAAATGTTTTGTAGAGACAGAGTCTTGCTATGTTGCCCAGGCTGGTCTTGAACTCCTGGGCTCAAGTGATCCTCCCACTTCAGCTTCTCAAAGGCCTAGGATAACAGGCAGGAGCCACCATGCCAGACCCTTCCCAGATTTTACCAGAGATGAGACAAGCTTAAAACAGTTTTTTCAAGGAAGATTTGAAGGGACTTCAACGATTAAGAAAAAAAACAATCTCCAGCTAGGTCCTTCCCCTAATATTCCCTCTGGCATCTTTATAAGGAACCACACAAGTATGGAGTGTGAAGTGCCAGTGTGACCCCACCTATAGGCAGCTCTCCAAGCCATAAACATCCCTGATTGAGAGATAAGACTGACAGGAGCAGCTGGGCACGGTGGCTCATGCCTGTAATCCCAACACTTTGGGAGGCCAAGGCAGGCGAATCTCCTGAGGTCAGGAGTTCGAGACCAGACTGGCCAACATGGTAAAACCCCGTCTCTACTAAAAATACAAAAATTACCCAGGTGTGGTGGTGGGCGCCTGTAGTCCCAGCTATTGGGGACGCTGAGGCACGAGAATCTCTTGAACCTGGGAGGCGGAGGTTGCAGTGAGCCAAGACCGTGCCACTGCACTCCAGCACAAGGGCGAAACTCCGTCTCTAAAAAACAAACAAACAAACAAACAAAAAACCAGGTTCTAGTTTTCTCTGCTAGGTATTTTGGAAGGGCCCTGACAGCCCCTAAGAACTTGAAATTGTCATGTGGTAACTAAAGTACAGGGCTGAGGCAAGAACTACCTCCCTCTTCAACCTGCCCTCGGGTCAGGTGTATACCTTACCTGACCCAGCTACACAGTTCCAGGGCTTGTTGCTGGTGTCCATGCTGGCACTACTGATCTCCCTGTCTCTGCAGTGCGTCGGGCAGCCCAAATGTGTGGCCTGAAGGAGGTGGGGGAGGATGAAGAGTGGACTCTGTACTGGACAGACTGCGCTGTCTCACTGGAACGAGTCATGGACATGAAGAGGTTTCAGGTACCCATCTCCTGACCTGAGAGCCGACAGGGGCTAGGGCCCCAGAATGACTATTCCCACCTCCTTGCCCAGGCACCCAAGACTGCTACTCTTTGTGGCTGTCCCCTTGTGCAGACAAGAAAGACCACCCCCAGGGTCTTCTTTTCCAATGGAAAGATCTCCTCTTGGAGATTGTGGGTTTCTGGAATTACCCAAAGGAAGTTTCTGGTGGGCACATCCTATCTCATGATTTGCACTTTGCTTGGTGGCATCTGTGTGTAGCTGGCCCTCTCCAGGGTGGGTGAGCACATCTTAGGGAGAATACTGGGAGGCAGCTTCAGAGCTAACAGCAGGGCCAGTTGAATGATCCAGCCTTCTAAGCAACTTAGTTTAGCATTCCACATCCATTAGGAGACTGCGGGGTCCTGCCTGGTGGCAAGAAATTCAGGAATGATCCACCGGGGTCCACAAGAATAGAACTGCCTTGTGACATTTTTATTATCCTCTAATTGGGCGTTTGTGGTGATCAGCAATAAAATAATTTAAAAGAGTCTGCAGGCTTATTCTTTGGGGAAGCCAGGCAGGAAGTTGAGGAAATTAAAACCTGTCCCACAACTAGTCTTGGGAGAGGTGCCCAAGAGAGAAAGCAAGTGCTAGAAGTTCTCAAGAAGCTCCAGAGGAGGTTGGGTGTGGTGGCTCACACCTGTAATCCCACCACTTTGGGAGGCCAAGGCAGGTGGATCAATTCAGGTCAGGAGTTCACTTGAACCCAGGAGGTGGAGGTTGCAGTGAGCAGAGATCATGCCACTACACTCCAGCCTGTGTGACAGAGTGAGACCCTGTTTTTTTTTTTTTTAAAAAAAAAAGGCTGGGCACAGTGGCTCACGCCTGTAATCCCAACTCTTTGGGAGGCCGAGGCGGGCGGATCATGAGGTCAGGAGTTCAAGACCAGCCTGACCAACAGGGTAAAACCCCATCTCTACTAAAAATACAAAAATTAACCAGGCATGGTGGCGCACACTTGTAATCCCAGCTATTTAGGAGGCTGAGGCAGGAGAATCACTTGAACCCAGGAGGCGGAGGTTGCAGTGAGCCAAGATTGTGTCATTGCACTCCAGCCTGGGTGACAGAGTGAGACTCCATCTAAAAAAAAAAAAAAAAAAAGGACGCTCCAAAGGAGGGGCATTTGTAAAATGAGGAATGCAGGCTGGGCACGGTGGACGGTGGCTCTCGTGCCTGAAATCCCTTTGGGAAGCCAAGGTGGGCAGATTGCTTGAACTCAGGACTTTGAGACCAGCCTGGGCAACAGGCAAAACCCCATCTCTACCAAAAATACAAAAATAAAAAAATATTAGCCAGGCGTAGTGGTGCATGCTTTAGTCCCAGCCACTTGGGAGGCTGAGGCAGGAGGATCTCTTGAGCCTGGGAGGCAGAGGCCGCAGTGAGCTGAGATCACACCACTGCACTCCAGCCTGGGCGACAGAGGGAGACCCTGTCTCAGGGAAGGGGGAAAAAAAAAGGATAAGGATAACAATAATCAGCAGCATTTACTGAGGGCTTACTGTACAACAGACTCCGTGTTAAGTGCTTTTATAGTATTACCCCATTAAATCCTCAAGAACAGCCCTGAGCAGCAGATATCCCTTGGTTAGGACATGGAGGGTCAGAAATACTAAGTTCATACAGTGAGTGCGGCCAGTGATGGGGAAACCCAGTGGAGAGCACTTAGCATACTCTTTGTGGCTGTCCCCCTGTGCAGACAGGAAAGACCATCCCCAGGGTATTCTTTTCCAACGGAAAGATTCTCCTCCTGGGTCTCTGGAATTACCTGAAGGAAGTGTCTGGTGGGTACATCCTATCTCATTATTTGTTCTTTACTTGGTGGCATCCCGGATGCTGCCACCCATCCAGCAGGACAGAGCAGCCAGGGGTTTCTGGCAGGCACCAGGGTGATGCCATGCCCTCAGTGGGTGCCATGGCATCACATTCCTTGGGGCTGGTTCTTAGTTTCCTTTTATCTTTTGTGTCTTTTGGGGAATGCTTTCGTCTCATTGTCTGCTTTGTGCTATCATGCATTAGTTATTGTTAGAGGACTAGGCCTGGTGGTCTGAGGGGTGTTAGAAGGTGGACTGTGGAAGCCACAGTCTTGGCTAGTTACATTCCTTCTCACTGCCCCTCATTTGCTGAGCTCAGTGTGGATGTGTGTGTTGGGTAGGAGTCACAGAGGGTTTTCTCACCTGCCTTAAGGAACCTTCCTATGTTTGCCCTTGGGGTCCTTGGTGCAGTGCTTACCTCCACTGTGACTTCTCCCTTAACCTTCCCAATCCTCCTCCACTGCTTCCTGGGATGCCCAGGTGCTAGGAAATGCCACTTACTCTGGGGGCTCATACTAACTGGCTGTGTTTCAGAAAATCAACCACTTCCCTGGCATGACAGAAATCTGCCGCAAAGATCTGCTGGCTCGGAACCTCAACCGCATGTACAAACTCTATCCCTCTGAGTACAACATCTTCCCCCGCACCTGGTGCCTCCCCGCAGAGTGAGTGGGTCTGGCTTCCCATGCTGAGATACCAGGGGGAGGAAAAGGGTCGCTCTCAGAGCTCTGGTCTTGTGACCTAGGAATGTCTCAGAGGGATGGAAGTGGAATGAGAAAGTTTCAGCTGGTCAAAGAAAAGAGGGTCTGAGACTGAGTGCTCCAGGAAGAGCATGGACTAGATAGCAGGAAGAGCTCCATGCGGCCCCGGGAAAGCCTTGATGCACAGAAACCTTTTGACCAGGCCCTCTCTGCACATAGCTATGGGGACTTCCAGTCCTACGGTCGTCAGCGAAAAGCCCGCACATATATCTGCAAGCCAGACAGTGGCTGTCAGGGACGTGGCATCTTCATTACCCGAAATCCCCGGGAGATCAAGCCAGGAGAGCATATGATCTGCCAGCAATACATCTCCAAGGTGAAGGATGCCTCAGGACCATCAGCCTTCCCTAGTCCCCAGCACTGGGCTGCCTCATCTCTCCCAAAAGCCAGGGAGGAAGCTGGTCTTAGGCTTCTACCCTTCCCACTAGCCCCGTTTTCCTGGAGGCAGTATCCAGCCATGGTTCAGAACCAGCCTGCCTGGGGTTGAATCTCAGTTTCCACTTCCCAGATATGTGACCTTGGGCAAGTTTCTTACCCTCTCTCTGTGCCTCTGTCTCCTTCCTTTTTCTTTCTTTCTTTCTTTCTTTCTTTCTTTCTTTCTTTCTTTCTTTCTTTCTTTCTTTCTTTCCTTCCTTCCTTCCTTCCTTCCTTCCTTCCTTCTTTCTTTCTCCCTTTCCTTCCCTTCCTTTCTTCCTTCTTTCTCTCTACCTCTCTCTCTCTTTCTTTCGATGGAGTCTCTCTGTGTTGCCCAGGCTGGAGTGCAGCGGCACGATCTCAGCTCCCTGCAACCTCCGCCTCCCGGGTTCAAGCAATTCTCTGCCTCAGCCTCCTGAGTAGCTGGGATCACAGGCACCTGCCACCACGCCCAGTTAACTTTTGTATTTTTAGTAGAGACGGGGTTTCACCATCTTGGCCAGGCTGGTCTTGAACTCCTGAACTCGTGATCCACCCTCCTCAGCCTCTCAAAGCGCTGGGATTACAGGCATGAGCCACCATGCCTGGCCTCTCCTCATTTATTAAGTGGGAGTAATAACAGTAACTATTTTACATGGTTATTGTGGAAATTCAATTAGCTATGTGTGTGAAGCACTTAGAACAGCACATAGTAGGCACTTCAAAAGTGTTATTATTCCCTCATGGGTTTGCATGCTCCCAGCCCCTCCTCATTGATGGCTTCAAGTTTGATATGCGAGTCTACGTCCTGATCACATCCTGTGACCCTCTCCGGATCTTCACATATGAGGAGGGCCTAGCCCGTTTTGCCACCACGCCCTATATGGAGCCCAGCCATAACAACCTGGTAAGGGGACTGGGAAGCACTCTTCTTTTCCACTGCCAAAAGTGCTGAGGTTCTCTAGAGAAACATGGTAGAGAGGTTTGTCACTGTCACCAAAGAACAAGGAATGAAGCCAGCAAGAGCTGCAGCATCTAGCTGGGAGGCAAGTGTTTGGTAGGTGGTGAAGGAGAAAAGGTCAGCACCCGGAGGAGCCCAGCACACACTCTTCCCCAGGATCATCTAGAATAGCAGTCCTCTGGTGGAGAGAGACAGGAGACGAGAGATCCTCGGGAGGGGTGGGGAGCAACAAGGTAATGAAGGGCTGGAGAGGACGGCCGCATGCAGACAGTCTGAGACCACAGGGCCACTCTTTCCACAGGACAATGTCTGCATGCACCTGACCAACTATGCTATCAACAAACACAATGAGAATTTTGTCCGGGATGGCGCTGTGGGCAGTAAGAGGTACTCCCTACTCTGTTTTCTCCTGCTTCCTCTGCCCCTTAGCCCCACAGTCCCAGTAGCCCATGAAACCAAGCTGGCTCTTGGGAGGCTAATTGCCCAGGGAAACTCAGCCTTTATAGACCCTGTCCTGTGCCTGCACTTTGGAGCTCTAAGTGCAGCCCCAAACCTCACCCTGATAACTAGTCCCTGCTCCAAACTGCTAGCAGCCCTTCAAAGCCCGGGCATGCAATTAGCGTTAGTGTGAGGGAGCCTCCTGCCTACAGCCTGGCCCAGTGGCCTAGAAACTGGCCTTCCTCTGAGCACTGGGCCTCGCAGGAAGCTGTCGACACTCAACATCTGGCTGCAAGAGCACAGCTACAACCCTGGAGAGCTGTGGGGGGACATCGAGGACATCATCATCAAAACCATCATCTCAGCCCATTCTGTTCTACGCCACAACTACCGAACCTGTTTTCCCCAGTATCTGAATGGAGGTACATGTGCCTGTTTTGAAATCCTTGGTTTTGACATCTTGCTGGACCACAAGTTGAAGCCCTGGCTGCTAGAGGTGAGGATTATCTCCTAGGCTTTGCAAAACCAAGGTCCAGAGGCCTCCTTGAATAGGACACCTGGGACAGGGGTACACTCAGGTGGTGGAACACAGAATGGGAGATGTGAAAGCCCTGGGGTGGGCAGGAATGAGCAGAAGGCATAAGATCTCTACCCTTTTGACCTGCTGAGTCAAATCTTGGTGGTTTTTGGCCTCTACCGTAGGAATGCAGGTTTGGGATCCCCAGTGCCCTAATGTAAGTCTTTAGGGACACACTATCTAGAGAGGCAGGCCAGCTGATTTGCTCTCACTGGTCTGTGAATTGGAGATCTCTATGGCAGAGTTTTGTGGCCTTGGAAGCCAGAGCATCCAGCCTCCCCGGCTGAGGCCATGGGAGAGGAATATCTTAGACCCTCTAGTTAATGCCTGCAAGAGGCCACCACCTGCTCAGGTGGTCTGGGAAAGGGGTGTATAATGACTCCTCCTGGCAGGTAAACCACTCTCCAAGCTTTACCACGGACTCATGCCTTGATCAAGAAGTAAAGGATGCACTTCTCTGTGATGCTATGACCCTTGTCAACCTCCGGGGCTGTGACAAAAGGAAGGTGATGGAGGAGGATAAGCGGCGAGTCAAGGAACGGCTTTTCCAGTGCTACCGACAGCCACGAGAATCTAGGTGTGCTAGGTGTCTGGCATGTGTTTAGTTCTTCATTATTCCTGAGAGTAAAAGTCCTCCTTTAGATGAAGAATGTGGCCTGGGGCTGATTTGCTATCAAAAACAACTTTTTGCATAGATAATATGTTCATATTTGCATTAAAAAAATCACAGGACCAGGCTTGGTGGCTCATATCTGTAATCCCAGCACTTTGGGAGGCTGAGGCAGGAGGATTGCTTGAGCCCTAGAGTTCAACACCAGACTGGGCAACATGTGAGACTCTGTCCCTAAAACACAAAAAAGAAACAAAGGAATAATAATTAAAAAATAAAAAATTAGCTGGGCATGGTGACATGCCTGTATTCCCAGCTACTCAGGAGGCTGAGGTGGGATGGTTACTTGAGCCCAGGAGGTCAAGCCTGCAGTGAGCCATGTTTGCACCACTGCACTCCAGCCTGGGCAACAGAGTGAGACCCTGTTTCAAAAAAAAAAAAAGTCATATATCATAGATAAGTTCAAAATTTTAAAAATACAGAGGGTAGTCTTTCTCCTCCCCTTCTCCTCCAGGTACTCAGTTTTCCTCTCTGGAGCCAATCAACATTCCTACTATCATATGTATATAGTACGCATTTAATATATATGTATTTATACAAAATATTTTTCTCCCTGCCTACTCAGACAGAGGCATAACTTTCACACTGTCTGCACCCTGGTTAGCAACGTATTTTAGAGCCATTCTCATGTTAGCACATAAGGAACTTTCTGTGGTTTGATTAGCTGGTTTGTTTTTCTAACAAATCTCCTTTAGAAACCAGTTCCTGAGAAACTTTGTCATAAAGAAACACAGAAAACAGTTTAGTCATTCAATAATAGAGAATCGTTTACATCCGTGTTGGTCACCCATTGTTGTTTTCTTTGTAAAATGAGTTACAAACATGGTAACTGGTCACCGATACTAAAATTGTAATTTGTTAATGATACATACAAATGAATTTCAGTACATGTATAGTTATCACTATGATCACATTGCTCTTCCCACTTACATTCCAATATGCAGGGGCAGTGTGTGTTTGATTCCCCACGAGAGCCACAGGGCCTGGGACACCGTAAGCACTCAGATGTCTGCGTGATGAATGGGAGTGAAGTAGAACTGTAATATACTGGCTATTCCCACAAGACTGGACTGTGTACCTGAGGGTCATGAAATGTGTCTTTCAATAAGGAAAAATGGTTGAACAGTACTGGACTAAATAAACAAAATACAATCGTACACTAGAGTACTAGGCAGCCATTTAAAAATATTGTTGTGGCCAGGTGTGGTGGCTCACACCTGTAATCCCAGCATTTTGGGAGGCTGAGGTGGGTGGATCCCTTGAGCTCACGAGTTTGAGACCAGCCTGGGCAACAGGCAAAACCCTGTCTCTACAAAAAATACAAAAATTAGCCAAGCGTAATGGTGCGCGCCTATGGTCCCAGCTACTTAGGAGGCTGAGGTGAGAGGATGGCTTCAGCCTGGGAGGCTGAGGTTATAGCGAACTGAGACTGCATCACTGCACTCCAGCCTGGACGATAGAGTGAGACCTTGTTTCAAAAAATTAAATTAAAAAATAAAATAAAAATATTGTTGCATTATTTCATTTTCATTTGAAGAAAGCAAGCAAGCGGCCAGGTGCAGTGACTCAGGCCTGTAATCTCAGCCCTTTGGGAGGCTGAGGTGGGCGGATCAGGAGGTCAAGAGATCAAGACCATCCTGGCCAACATGGTGAAACCCCATCTCTACTAAAAATACAAAAATTAGCTGGGCGTGGTGGTGCATGCCTGTAATCCCAGCTACTCAGGAGGCTGAGGCAGGAGAATCGCTTGAACCCAGGAGGCGGAGGTTGCAGTGAGCTGAGATTGTGCCACTGCACTCCAGCCTGGGCGATAGAGCAGGACTCTGTCTCAAAAAAAAAAAAAAAAAAGAGAGAAAGAAAGGAAGGAAGGAAGGAAGGACACACGCATGCACGCACAAGCTAGTGAGTGGCAGAGCCAGGATTCAAAGTCAAGAGGTCCTGCCTCAGATTCATGCTCATAATCAACATGCTAATTGCATAGTAAGATTATGGAAGGCTTTATCTTCTTTCTGCTCTTCTAAATTTTCTGTAATGAACGTATATTACCTTTTTTTCTTGTTTTCTTTTTTTTTTTTTTGAGACTAGTCTCACTCTGTCATCTAGGCTGGAGTGCAGTGCCACGATCTTGGCTCACTGCAACTTCCACCTCCTGGGTTCAAAAAATTTTCCTGCCTCAGCCTCCCAAGTAGCTGGGACTACAGGCACACGCCACCAAGCCCAGATAATTTTTGTATTTTTAGTAGAAACAGGGTTTCGCTATGTTGGCCAGGCTGGTCTCGAATTCCCAACCTCAAGTGATCCACCCGCCTTGGCCTCCCAAAGTGCTTGCATTACAGGCGTGAGCCACCATGCCCGGCCACTTTTTTTTTTTTTTTCAAATGGAAAGCTAATATCAAAACATATGTTACTTTTACAATCAGAAACCTAAAAAACTATGATAATGGACTGCTAGCTTACGAGTAGACCCCTCTCCACTTAAGATGAAAATCAGGCCGAGTACGGTGGCTCACACCTATAATCCCAGCACTTTGGGAGGCCGAGGTGGGTGGATCACTTGAGGTCCGGCCTTGCCAACGTGGTGAAACCCTGTCTCTACTAAAAATACAAAAATTGGCCAGGCATGGTGGTGCATGCCTGTAATCCCAGCTACTTGGGAGGCTGAGGCAGGAGAACTGCTTAAACCTGGGAGGCAGAGGTTACAGTGAGCAGAGATTGTGCCAGTGCACTCCAGCATGGGCAACAGTGCAAGACCCTGTCTCAAAAAAGAAAAGAAAAGCAAATCAGATTTCTGGAAGTCAAGCCTATTTTCATGGCTACCCACATGTGGGGCTAGCCAAAGATGGGCTTGGCAGCTTTCCCTACTTGGGCAGGGGCCCAGGAGGTCAAGAAGCCAGCAGGAGGGTCTCCAAACCTTAGTCAGTCTTCCTTTCCCTACTGAACATTCCCACAGCCCTACTCTTGACTCACTGAGCTTGCTTTCCACAGGAAAGAAAAAACTGAGTCATCCCATGTGGCAATGCTGGACCAGGAACGATATGAGGATTCTCACCTGGGAAAATACCGGCGGATCTACCCTGGGCCTGACACAGAGAAGTATGCCCGCTTCTTCAAGCACAATGGCTCCCTCTTCCAAGAGACTGCTGCTTCCAAGGCCAGAGAGGAGTGTGCCAGGTACTTTGACCGACATTCTCCTCTGCACACCTAGGTGGGGACAAGTCCTGAAGCTGCATTGCTTCCCAGCAGGGAAAGAGGAAGCCAGACACCAGCAAAGAGGAATGGAGCTATAAATCCTATCAGACTCTTAGTGACTCTTTTCAGTTTAGTAGGTTTCCTATCTTCCCCTCTCATTGCTCTCGCATCAGTCCTAAGAACAGATTGTAATTTCCTGCTCTTTCCTCATCCCCATTTTTCCTCACCCCTCTTCTCCCCAACACCATTTCTCTACTGTCTGAAGCTGCTGTGTCTTGTCAGGCAGCAACTAGAGGAGATCCGCCTTAAGCAGGAACAGCAGGAGACCTCGGGCACTAAGAGGCAAAAGGCCAGGGACCAGAACCAGGGTGAATCAGCTGGGGAGAAAAGCCGACCCAGGGCAGGGCTCCAGAGCCTTTCCACCCACTTGGCTTACAGGAACCGCAACTGGGAGAAAGAGGTGCCAGGGGTTTTGTAGCTCTTATCTTTCCACAGGAAAATGGGTTGGGACAACTAGATAGGGGAATGAATCTCTGCTGTCTTCTCCTCCCCATGCACAAGAGAGAGAGGAGTTCCTAATCAGTAAATTGAATCCGATCCTTTGGAAGATGAAGTGAGAGAATGGACAGCAAAAGGAACCTTCCTGGGTCAGGGAAGGGATGAGGGTAGAGTGGGCAGGAGGCCTGTAGCCATCCTGGGTGATGGTTTGGGACTTATCCTTGGAGATCCTGCATTTATCTCTCATGTACCTTGTAGCTGCTGCCGGGACAGCTGGACACCATGAGGCCTCAAGAAATTGTGGAAGAGGAGGAGCTGGAGCGGATGAAGGCCCTGCTACAAAGGGAGACTCTCATCCGAAGCCTGGGTATTGTAGAGCAGCTCACCCGTCTGCAGCACCCTGGCCCCCAGGGCCAGAAAAAACTTCATGAGAGTCGGGTGAGGGTCCCTGTGAAGTCTCCCAGAGGAAAAGGGAACAAGGGCTGTCATTCCAGGACATGGTGTTGGTCTCAACAAAGGAGGCTTGTGTGATGGTATCTGTCAGTGGAGCCTGGGAAAGCAGAGTGCGCTAGCTGGACCTTGGGAGAGGGTCTGTTGATTCCTTTTGCGTCTGTTCCCAAGCTCCTTTGTTTTAGATATGACATCCAGCAAGTTGCAGCTCCAAACCTTCTCATTTACAGGAAACTTGCTCTCTATATTCCTGTCCCAAAATAACCCCACACTCATGACTGACAAATAACAAGCCCACCACCCTCAGTGGCTTCTGTATAATTTTCTCCCTAGCACTGCCAGTGCCCCAGCTCTAATGGGAGATAAGTAAACAGATTTGGGCCAACAAAAGAGCTGCCGCTTTCACTATTCCCTGGGCTGGTAGCAAACCTGTTGGGTCTTCTGTTTTTGTTGAACCCCAAAGGAGTATCTGGTTAAATAGTGGCCGCGGCCTAGAAGAGATTTTTTTCAGTTACCTCCTTCTTCCAACGCTCCATCCAAACTTACATAAAAATGTGGTAAGGGGCTGCTCTTCTCCTCTAGCCTAGATTTTGCTAGGACAGGCTGGGCAGTCAAGAACTGAAATCTATGAGTCTGGTCCTACTGGTGCTCCTAAGAGGGGCTGCCACAGAGCAGGGCGCTCCTCATTTCCTGCATCCAGTTCTGCCCCATGAATCAATCCCCAGGATCTTAGGGGCACTGCCAAGCATGAATGCTGCAATCCCACATGTTCCCCGGTACCATCTGCAGCCCAAGAACTTCAACTGGACAGGAGAGCCGGCAGCCATCAACTCCTGTTCATTGTCAATGAAGAAGGCTGGGAGGTGCTATTTTTCCAGTGCCAGAATCAGGCTCACTAGCCGTAAGTATGCAAAACTAGCTTTGGTCATTTTGACATATGTAAATCCCACTAGCAAGCATAGAGCTTGGATGCCCCTAAAATATAATATGGCACTTCCACCAGTGTAAGAATGGGGAAGTTAGGGTACCCATTTATTTACTCCTTTTTTTTTGAGACAAGGTCACGCTCTGTCGCCAAGGCTGAAGTACAATGGCTTGATCTCACTTCACTGCAAACTCCACTCACGGGCTCAAGTAATTCTCCTGACTCAGCCTCCTGAGTAGCTGGGACTATAGGCACACACCACCATGCTCGGCTAACTTTTGTATATTTTGTTTTTGCCACGTAGCCCAGGCTGGTCTTGAACTCCTGATCCACCTGAATCAGTCTCCCAAAGTGCTAGGATTACAGGTGTAAGCCACCGCACCAGGCCTATTTAATCCTTTCTGTACACTAGACCCTGGTGATAGAAATGGCAGAAATACAGTCCCAGCACTCAAGAGGTAATAGGAACATGGACAAAAAGACATACCATACCAATTACAATACAGTGTGGGAAAGACAGTGGAGGGAAGCATGAGATGCCCTTCCTCTGTGTTGGTAATTGGGCCACAGTTGGGAAAGAGGTGAACAAATCTCTTCTGTGAATACCAACTCAGGGACATCCATGTTTCCACTGCAGAAGGACAAGCCAGCAGAAGGCTAGAAGCCATAAACCGAGTCCTGGCAGGATCAGTGCCACCCACTTTAACCCCAAAGCAGGGCTATTTTCTGCAACCGGAAAGAGTGGCATCTGACTCATGGACTGAATGCACCTTGCCCTCCATGGTAAACTCTGAACACAGAGCAGCCAAGGTTCCCCTCTGCCCTGCGTCTGCACCCATGCTGCAGCGTTCCAGAGCACTCCTCAACATCAATCAGTTCAGGTAAAAGCAGGAGGGAAGCACTCTACCTCTCCTGGATAACCTCCCCAGGTTTCCAAAGGGCATTAAATCTTTGCTAAATGAATGACTGCCACCAAGTTCCACTTTGAAAAGCCCTGCCCAGGAACCCCATTTGTATAAGGCAAAATACAAAGACACCAAGAATTCCTCAATACCCTAAGATTAATTGGGGATCGGTAAAGACTAGAAGATGAAGAGGCGCCAAGGCCAGCCATGTACTCATTTCTGCTCATCAAGCCTTAGCCTGGGTTTATCGCTAGGTGATGGGTCTGAACCCTAGGTGCGGCCCGGGGCTGGAGGCCATCCAGGAGACAATGAGCCCCTTTCCCAGAGAAGCCGAGTGCCCAAGGCACTGGGCTGTCGCCGTCAGAAGACTGCCGAGCGGAAGCCCTGCCCACCGAGGTGGCGGAGACAGGCAGGCCTGGGCAGCCGCTGGGGCGGAGGGACGGCTCTTGGAAACGGAATCCGTACTTTAATTAAAGTTTATGCAGTTTTCCAGGAGCGTCCTGTACCTCATTTCGGCCCTCACGTTTCAGGGAAGCCCTCTCCACAGTTACAGGCAGAAAGGGTGGGCCACTGAGCAGCGTGAGCCCAGATCTTACCCCCACCAAGTGAAGCGGGAAATAACTTGCTACTACCCAGCCTCCGGCCCGCCCCTTCCACTTCCGGTCTTACCCGGCTACTTCCGCTGCTGTTTCGTAGCCGACTGCTGAAGGCTGGTTTGCGTCGACATGGCGGTTACCCTGAGTCTCTTGCTGGGCGGGCGCGTTTGCGCCGCCGTCACTCGCTGTGGGTTCGCGACCCGGGGGGTGGCGGGCCCAGGCCCTATTGGCCGGGAGCCGGACCCCGATTCCGACTGGGAGCCGGAGGAACGGGAGCTGCAGGAGGTGGAGAGGTACCGGCTTCTCCCCGGGCCCTCAGCTTGAAGCAGGGCCTCGTGCCCCGGCGCTCCAGGCCGCGCCCCCTTGGCGCCGGGTGTCCTGCCGCTGCTTGCGCAGCGGCCCTTGTTTCTTCTTACCCGTTGTTAGGGGCGCAGCGTCAGGTGTTCAGCTCCCCTGGGACCACTGGTCCCTTCATTAGTGACGTATTTCATCATCAGTTTAGAGAGTTCGGCATGCTTACAGGCAGTTATTGTTCTAGGTGTTAGCTTTCTGGGTGTACGGAGCAGCTCTAAGCCGGCAACATGGCCCGGTTGCCCTTGCGATCAAAGAGAAGAGGGCTGGGCGCTCCATGATTTAGCCTGAGGCTCTTCAAACATCCATTCTGCTTCCACGCATGGCTTCTGCCATTGGTTCTCTTCCCCCAGCACCCTGAAACGACAGAAACAAGCAATCCGATTCCAGAAAATTCGGAGGCAAATGGAGGCGCCTGGTGCCCCGCCCAGGACCCTGACGTGGGAAGCCATGGAGCAGATACGGTGAGACTCAGGATACCTTGTTTGTATCCGCTGTGATGAGAAGTGAAGGATGCTGGAGCCCAGAAACGGGTTTGGCTTTTTTGATACTGCTTTTATATTTTCGTTTACTTTTTGTCGTTGAAATTTATTATCAGAAAAGTAGAGTAATATAACGAACTTCCCTAACCCTGTCATTATCTAGATTTAATAGTGTTTTGTTTTGTTTTTTAAAGAGACGGGGTTTCGCTATCGCCTCGAACTCCAGACCTCAAGTGATTCTCCCGCCTCGGCCTCTCAGAGTGCTGGGATTACAGGCATGAGCCACTGCGCCCCGCCTGGTTTTAATAGTTTTTAACGTTATGACGTGGTTGGTTCATTTTTACTGAAATTTTTAAATAGTAAATCGCAGACATCACAACATTTAACCCTTGAATGTAGGTTGTGACGTTCCCAACCTAAGGTACAGGGATGCTGGTGCTTCCATAGGTAGGTGCATTTTTCTGAAGACAGGATCTATAATTTAGGAAAGCTTAAAAGAGTTTTTAAGTTTTTTTGTTTTGAGTAGGTAAAGTATTACATATGGCTCAACCTAACAGTATAACATGGTATACACATTGAGAATTATTTGTCCCACCCACTCTCCTGTGGGTACTTTTTTTTTTTTTTTTTGGTAGTTGGGGGTCTCACTCTGTCGCCAAGGCTGGAGTACAATGATGTGATCACCGGTCACTGCAGCCTCTACCTCCTGGGCCCAAGCCATCCTCCCACTTCGTCCTCCCAAGTAGCTGGGACTACAGGTGCATGCCACCATGCTTGGTTAATTTTGTTTATTTTTTGTAGAGATAGCCTCATCATGTTGCCCATGCTAGTCTCCAATTCCCAGGGCTCAAGCGATCATCCCACCTCAGCCTCCTAAAGTGTTGGGATTACAGGCATGAGCCACTGTGTGCAGCTGTACTATTTTTAATAGTTTTTCTCTACCAAAAACTAGGCTCTGTGCCCTGAGTGAGCCACTGCGCCTGGCCCTCAATTCTTTTTTTATAGATGGTGTTATTATATTTTTTTGAGGCAGTATATGAGGCAGTATATGACAGTGGTTTTTAATTTTTATTTAAACAATTTTTTCTCCTATTTATTTATTTGACAGAGATGGGGGTCTCACTATGATGACCAGGCTGGTCTCAAACTTCTGGCCTCAACTGATCTTCCCATCTCGGCCTCCCAAAGTGCTGGGATTAGAGGCGTAAGCCACCATGCCTGGCCAGAATGCATTATTTAACCTGTCTTTTATTGTGGGCATTTAGTTGGGTTGTTTCCATTTCTGTTGCTCACTAATAGTGCCCCAGTGAATAACTACGTATGTGTATCATTCTGCATACCTGCCAGGAATATTTGTTATATACATTCCCAGAAGTAAGGTTGCCAGGTCAAAAGACAAATGCATTTGCAATTTGATAAATATTGCTAAGTAGCCCTACATAGATTATGTACTATTTTTCATTTCCATCAGAATGACTCTGGAATTGAAATTTAAAATAAAGGGGATTCTGTAGAGCTGCTCAAGATTTTGTGAGCCTGTAGCACCTTCTGAGTCCTCAGTCAGGTCTAGCTCCTCTTTTTTTCGTTTGTTTGTTTGTTTTTTGTTTGAGGCAGTCTCACTCTGTCGCCCAGGCCAGAGTGCAGTGGCGAAATCTCAGCTCACTGCAGCCTCTGCCTCCAGGTTCAAGAGATTCTTGGACCTCAGCCTCCCAAGTAGCTGGGATTACAGGCGTGCACCACCACACCTGGCTAATTTTTGTATTTTTAGTAGAGACAGAGTTTCACCATGTTGGCCAGGCTGGTCTCAAACCCCTGACCTCAGGTGATCCACCCACCTCGGCCTCCCAAAGTGCTGGGATTACAGGCATGAGCCACCATGCCGGCCTCTATCTCCTGTCTTCAACAATAGCTTTTTCAAACCTTCCACCTTCCTACTTATCTCCCTTTATTGTGGTCAATAAATGTCCTTTTAAGAGGAAAAAAAAAAAACAGTCCATTAAGTAAAAACTTTCAGCTTCCTGGTCTTCCTCTTTGCCCACTACTCTCAAACTTATACTCTACTCCCATTTCAGAGGAAATGGGAGCCCTTCACTTGTCTGGGACCAATTCTCTGTATGCTTTAGGTCATATTTCTCCCTGCATAAGATTACTCAAGGACCTCTGTCCTCAACCTAAAGCTCTCTCTCATTCTTTTGTTCCCAGCTGGTTCCCAGGGTGCCTACCCTTTGTTTGTTTGTATCACTGCAATAAAACTGCTCTCCTTAAATCCATCAGTGACTTCCTCAGTGCTAGGCTCAAAAAGACACTTTGTAGTCCTTAGCGTCCTAAATAATTCAGCAGCATTTGCCCTTGTAAAAACTGCCTTTTAAATTAAAATATATATATATATTTTAAATAAAGACAGGATTTTGCCATGTTGCCCAACCTGGTCTCCAGTTTCTGAGCTCAAGCGATCTGCCTGCCTTGGCCTCCCAAAGTGTTAGGATTACAGGTGTGAGCTACTGCACCCAGCTGAAACTGCTTTCTCCCACCCCCCCCCCCCCATTATTTATTTATTGATTGACACTGATTCTCTCTTTTTTTTTTTTTTTTTTTTTTGAGACGGAGTCTCATTCTGCTGCCAGGCTGGAGTGCAGTGGCATGATCTTGGCTCACTGCAACCTCTGCCTCCTGGGTTCAAGTGATTGTCGTGCCTCAGCCTTCCAAGTAGATGGAATTACAGGTGCACACCACTATACCTGGCTAATTTTTTTTTTTTTTTTTTTTTTTTTGGATTTTTAGTAGAGGTTGGGTTCAGCGTGTTGGCCAGGCTGGTCTTGAACTCCTGACCTCAAGTGATCTGCCTGCCTTAGCCTCCCAAAAGTGCTGGGATTACAGGCGGGCGTGAGCCACCATACCCAGCCTTTTTTTATTTTTATTATTTTAATTTTACTTTAAGTTCTGGGGTACATGTGCAGAATGTGCAGGTTTGTTATATAGGTGTACATGTGCCATGGTGAACTGCTTTCTTAAAATTCTCTTCTCCCTTGACTCCAGGGTACCATTCCCTTCTGATCTTTTTTTCTTTGTTTCTAGGGCTGCTTTTCTCAGTTTCCTTCCTGGGCTCCTCTTCTACCTCCTATATCTTAAATATTGTTATTTCATAGAGTTCTGTCCTTGTCATTTTAGTTCACTCTGCATATTTCCCTGCCTGATGCTAGCCACTCAGTCACCCCTGCTATTGGCTTATGACTTCCAAATCTGTCATCTCCAGTTCATGTTTTTTTTCCTGAAATCTAAAGGCATATATTCAACTGTGTACCAGACATCTCTGTTTTGGATATCACAGTTTCCTCAAACTCAGCATGTACAAAATAGAATTCATCGTTGTTCCCTGACAACTTCATTCTGTTCCTGTTTTTCCTATAACCTACTGATTACCCAAGCTAAAATCCTGCATCTTGGCCTTGATGATGCTTCCCCCAATATTTAGTCCCTTAGTACCAAGTTGTACTATTTGACTTTCTTAAAATATTTCTCAACTCACTTTCCTCCTATGCTCCATTGACTGTCTCACTCGAGACTATCTGGATTACTGTAAAAGCCTCTTGACCAATCTTTCTGCCTATACTTTTGTCACTGAAAAACTACCACTAGGTTGAATTCCTTTTTTTCTTTTTTTAATAGAGATGGGATCTCCCTGTTTCCCAGGCTGGTCTCGAACTCCTGGGCTCAAGCAATCCTCCTGCCTCAGCCTCTCAAAGTGCTGGGAGTGAGCCATTGTGCCAGGCTGTAGGTTGAACTTCAAAATGAAAATTTATCTGTGGCATTCCACTGCTTAAAATTTTTCCTTGACTTGCTGTTGCCTTGGGATAAACTCCAGACCCCTAAGTGTGATCTACTTCTTACCCTCACTGTCAGTTGAGTTATTCCCAACAAAGGTGATGTGCCGCTTTACATTTCACAAGCTCTTCACTTTATCATCAGTATCTTTCATCTCTCCTTCTCTCCTCCCTTCTGCCAGCTTATTACTCCTTTCATCCTTTCAGACCAACTCTAGCTTGGACTTCATGAAGCAATTCCTGGGCCTGGCTATAAGTGTTCTTATTCCCTATATCTGGGTCTCCCTCCTGGGGTGCTGTCTTTGCATCCTGTGCTATAACCTTTACCATAATGTCATTTATTTTGTCTGTCCCCACTCCCAAACTATGTAATGGGAAGGTCAGTCCTCCTGCGTCCCCAGGATCTATTGTGGTATTAGATGTCAGTGAGAGGAGCTGAGTTGATGTGAAATGAAGTGACCTGACTGACAGTGGTCAGGTGTTGCTGTTGACACACAGAAATGGAACACAGCCATTTAACTAGCACAAGATAGGGACTAGCACAAGATTTAGCTAGCACAAGATAGGGACTACATTTGCGGTTTTTCAAGCTCTCTTTTTTTGTTTTTTTGGGAGAGTCTCACTCTGTTGCCCAGGCTGGAGTGCAGTGGTGCAGTGGTGCAATCTCGGCTCACCGCAGCCTTCACCTCCCAGGTTCAAGTGATTCTTGTGCCACGTGGTAGCTCATGCCTGTAATCCCAGCTACTTCGGAGGCTCAGGCACAAGAATCACTGGTCTCGAACTCCTGGGCTCAAGTGATCCGCCTATCTCGGCCTCTCAGAGTTCTGGGATTACAGGTGTGAGCCACCATGCCAGGCCTCAACCCCTCTTCTTTATCATAGGTATTGCGAGTTAGATGTTCTGATAGGAGACTTCTTCACAACTTGCAAACCTGCTCCTTCTTCCCGTAGGTATTTACATGAGGAATTTCCAGAGTCCTGGTCAGTTCCCAGGTTGGCTGAAGGCTTTGATGTCAGCACTGATGTGATCCGAAGAGTTTTAAAAAGCAAGTTTTTACCCACATTGGAGCAGAAGCTGAAGCAGGATCAAAAAGTCCTTAAGAAAGCTGGGCTTGCCCACTCGCTGCAGCACCTCCGGGGCTCTGGAAATACCTCAAAGCTGCTCCCTGCAGGCCACTCTGTATCAGGCTCTTTGCTTATGCCAGGGCATGAAGCCTCATCTAAAGACCCAAATCACAGCACAGCTTTGAAAGTGATAGAGTCAGACACTCACAGGACAAATACACCAAGGAGAAGGAAGGGAAGAAATAAAGAAATCCAGGACCTGGAGGAGAGCTTTGTGCCTGTTGCTGCACCCCTAGGTCATCCAAGAGAGCTGCAGAAGTACTCCAGTGATTCTGAGAGCCCCAGAGGAACTGGCAGTGGTGCGTTGCCAAGTGGTCAGAAGCTGGAGGAGTTGAAGGCAGAGGAGCCAGATAACTTCAGCAGCAAAGTAGTGCAGAGGGGCCGAGAGTTCTTTGACAGCAACGGGAACTTCCTGTACAGAATTTGAGTCGGGGCTTGGCTTATGGAGATGCCTCGTGAAACACAGCTGGGCAAGTATTAATGTATATGGAACAGCCTGGATTTCTGCATATGGATAAGCCACCTTGGAATAGGAAGAGGTGTTGAGCCTGGACTGTGGGAGGAAAGAGCTGCGTGGATAGATTCAAACTTCCTGTGGTAGTGCTCCCAGTCTGACCTCTGTAGACCTTCAGTACTCACTCTTCTTGCTTAGGCTCTCTGTGTGTTGAAAGCCATCCCGTGTTGCATGTGTTGTTACAATTTTCTGTGATACTTGCAATTTATGTTTGAGAAGAAGTGAAAAGTTTGCCTTCTGACCTCATTTCCTTCTTGATCAGTGAACACTAACATTTTGGGGACAACTTAGTCAATTGGTTTTCCTTACAACAAAATAAAGTAAAATGTAGCAGTCTGCCTCTTTGGTGCTCTTTGGGGTGGGATGGTTTACCTGTGAACCTTGGAGAGAGGGAAGGACAAAGGCAGAAAGGAAGGATCCCTGGTCAGTAAACATTGGGAGAGAGATGGAACCAGAGGAATTTCCCAGCAAAGGGCTCTGTGCAGAGCATCCTGCTTAGTGAGGGATTCTGACAACTGAAAACTGGACGCCTTTCTTTTAGTTGCTGGGGTTCTGGCAGAGATTGGGAAATGAGGGGTTGGCAGAAAATACAAAGCAGGCAAAGGCTTTAGGGCCCTTATAATCTCCAGCCACATTTTAAAGTTTATATTAAGAGCTGGGCATGGCAGAATGTGCCTACAGTCCCAGTTACTTGGGAGGCCGAGGTGGGAGAATCGCTTGAGCCTCGGAGGTTGAGGCTGCAGTGAGCTATGATTGCACCACTGCACTCCAGCCTGGGATAACAGTGAGACCCCCATCTCTAAATAAAATCAATCGATCTTCAATTATGTCTCATTATACAGTTTACTTAACCAGATTTTTACAATGGTGCCATGGTGTAGGCAATCCCGGATTAAGAGGTCCCTTTTACAAATAAGGAAATAGACTTTAAGATGGCTGCCAGTAAGTGGCAGTGCTGGGACTTAACTCGGGTCTCATCATTAATCCAGGGCTTCTGGAATTCCGGGAATATGGCACTGTCTGCCATAATTTTGTTAATTTACTGCTTGTTTTAGAAATACATCTGTTATAACTAGAAATTCGGGGACAGCTTAGTCAATTTGTTTTCCTTACAAGCAAAATAAAGTAAAATGTAGCAGTCTGCTCATTAGTGCTCTGGTGGGATGGTTTACCTGTGAACCTTGGAGAACCATGTCCTGCTTTCACAATTTACCAGGAAAAATGGCTACTCCGAATTTAAATATATGTAGGACATTAATGGAAACACCTACATTCCAACTCAGTCATTGCCACTCTGTAGAATCTTACTGCTATTTCAAATGTCCAATTACAGCAATTAAAATACTGATTACTGTTGCTTTTATCAATTATTATTGATAACTTGAGGATCTGTTCTCAGTATAAATGACAAAGCCCTGTCACATGCCAAGCAAAATTCTACGATCCAGATGCTGGTAATACAACAGTGGGCAGATAGGACCTTTGCTGTCACTGCCCTGTCACTATCATGTAGTTCATAGTAGAAGCTTATCAGTATTTTTATGGTTTTGTTATATTTATGGTATTTAATTGTTAAAGATGTGTTAGATGCTGTTTGATTGTTTAAATTTGCATTTCTCACTCCTGCAAATATCTGATCATGCCATACCCTTTTCGCAGTGGGCTATAGAAACCTAAAGGCTGTTCTTAAAACTTTGTTTTTTAATTTATTTTTGACACGGACTCTCGCTCTGTCGCCCAGGCTGGAGTACAGTGGCACAATCTCAGCTCACTGCAACCTCCGCCTCCCAGGTTCAACTGATTCTCCTGCTTCAACCTCCCGAGTAGCTGGGATTACAGGCGTCTGCCACTGTGCCCAGCTAATTTTTGTGTTTTTAGTAGAGATGGGGTTTCACCATGTTGGCCAGGCTGGTCTCAAACTCTGACCTCAAGTGATCTGCCTGTCTCGGCCTCCTACAGTGCTAGGATTACAGGTGTGAGCCACCACGCCTGGCCTTTATTTTTCTTTTGAGACAGGGTCTCACTCTTGTCGTCCACACTGGAGTACAGTGGCTCAATCTTGCCTCACTGCAACCTCTGCCTCCCAGGTTCAAGCGGTTCTCATTCTTCAGCCTCCCGAGTAGCTGGAACTACAGGCGGGCACCACCATGCCCAGCTAATTTTTTTTATATTTTTAGTAGAGACAGGATTTCACCATGTTGGCCAAGCTGGTCTCAAACTCCTGACCTCAAGTTATCTACCTGCCTTGGCCTCCCAAAGTGCTGGGATTATAGGCGTGAGCCAACACGCCTGACCTTTATTTCTTTTGAGACAGGGTCTTGCTCTGTCATCCATGCTGGAGTGCAGTGGCTCAATCTCAGCTCACTGCAATCTCTGCCTCCTGGGTTCAAACTATTCTCATTCCTTAGCCTCCCGAGTAGCTGGGACTACAGGCATGCACCACCACACCCAGCTAATCTTTTATTTTTAGTAGAGATAGGATTTCACTATCTTGGCCAGGCTGGTCTCGAACTCCTGTGCTCAGGTGATCTGCCTGCTTCGGCCTCCCAAAATGCTGAGATTACAACGTGAGCCACCACGTGAGGCAGGCGGATCACCTGAGGTCAGGAGTTTCAGACCAGCCTGGCCAACATGGCAAAACCCCATCTCTACTAAAAATACAAAAATTATCTGGGTGTGGTGGCAGATGCCTGTAATCCCAGCTACTGGGAAGGCTGAGGCAGGAGAATTGCTTGAACCCGGGAGGCAGAGGTTGCAGTGAGCCGAGATTGTGCCACTGCACTTCACCTTGGGTGACAGTGAGACTCCATCTCAAACAAACAAACACCTCCAATGCTGTATCTCAAATACCATGTCTACCCTTCTTCCTGCTTTACTTCATCTATTACACAAGTAATACATACTCATTAAAGAAAAAGACAAGCAAAATGAAAACAAAAGTCATCCCTGATCCCACCAGTGAAGAGTTACTATCCTACCAACATTTTTCTAAGCATATGTACAACTTTAAGACAAGCACGAAAGAATAATACTGTGCCAGGCGCGGTGGCTCACGCCTGTGGTCCCAACAGTTTGGGAGGCCGAGGCGGGTGGATCACTTGAGGCCAGGATTTCGAGATTAGCTTGGCCAACATGGTGAAACCCCGTCTCTACTAAAAATACGAGAATTAGCGACTCCCAGCCGCCGCCCGGGCCCGCGCGCTCCTCCGCCGCGCTCCGCTCGGCTCCTCTCGACCCCACACCGCCGGTCGACATGATCCGCTGCGGCCTGGCCTGCGAGCGCTGCCGCTGGATCCTGACCCTGCTCCTACTCAGCGCCATCGCCTTCGACATCATCGCGCTGGCCGGCCGCGGCTGGCTGCAGTCGAGCGACCGCGTCCAGACGTCCTCGCTGTGGTGGAGATGTTTCCTTCCACAGGGGCGGCGGCGGCGGCAGCGGGTCCTAAGAGGACGGCTGCCACAGCCTCATGGAGTACGCGTGGGGTCGAGCAGCGCTGCCATGCTTTTCTGGGGCGTCAGCATCCTGGTGATCTGTTTCATCCTCTCCTTCTTCGTCCTGTGTGTACCCCAGATACTTGTCTTCCTAAGAGTGATTGGAGGTCTCCTTGCCTTGGCTGCTGTGTTCCAGATCATCTCCCTGGTAATTTACCCCGTGAAGTACACTCAACCTTCAACCTTCATGCCAAGCCCCGCTGTCACTTCCATCTATAACTGGGCCTGCGGCTTTGGGTGGGCAGCCATGATTATCCTCATTGGCTGTGCTTTCTTCTGCTGCTGCCTCCCCAGCTGCGAAGATGACCTCCTGGGCAATACCAAGCCCAGGTACTTCTACACATCCGCCTAACTTGGGAATGAGTGTGGGAGAAAATCGCCACTGCCAAGATGGACTCCAGAAGAAGAAACTGTTTCTCTAGGCTACTTCGAACTTATTTTTTGGCAGTGTTCATATTCTCAAACTAGTCAAAAATGCTAAAATAATTTGGGAGAAAATATTTTTAAAGTAGTGTTATAGTTTCATGTTCATCTTTTATTATGTTTTGTGAAGTTGTGTCTTTTCACTAATTACCTATACTATGCCAATATTTCCTTATATCTACCCATAACATTTATGCTATGTTTGTAAGAGAATATGAACATGAAACTTAACACTTTATAAGGTAAAAATGAGATGGTTTCCAAGATTTAATAATTGGATCAAGTTCTTGTTATTTCCAAATAGAATGGACTTGGTCTGTTAAGGGCTAAGGAGAAGAGGAAGGTAATGGTAAAAATTGTCAATGACTGGCCGGGTGTGGTGGCTCACGCTTGTAATCTCAGCACTTTGGGAGGCCGAGGCAGGCCAATCACCTGAGGTCACAAGTTCAAGACCAGCCTGGCAAACATGGTGAAACGCCGTCTCTACTGAAAATACAAAAATTAGCCAGGCTTGGTGGCACATGCCTGTAGTCCCAGCTACTGGGGAGGCTGAGGCAGGAGAATCGCTTGAACCAGAGAGGTGGAGGTTGCAGTGAACCGAGATTGTGCCATTGCACTACAGCCTGGTCAACAGAGCAAGACTCTGTCTCAAAACAAACAAAAATTGTCAATGACCAAACATTCTAAAAGAAATGCCAAAAAAAAAGCTTTTTTTTTCAAGCCTTCAAACTATTTAAGGAAGCAAAATAGTTTCCTAAATGCATATTGTTTGTGAGAATTTCTCATTAATATCCTGAATAATTCTTTTTTTTTTTTTGAGACGGAGTCTCACTCTGTCTCCCAGGCTGGAGTGTGATGGCGTGATCTCGGCTCACTGCAAGCTCTGCCTCTCGGGTTCACGCTATCCTCCCGCCTCAGCCTCCCGAGTAGCTGGGACTACAGGCGTCCACCACCACGCCCGGCTAATTTTTTGTATTTTTAGTAGAGACAGGGTTTTACCGTGTTAGCCATGATGGTCTCGATCTCCTGACCTCGTGATCTGCCCACCTCAGCCTCCCAAAGTGCCGGGATTACAGGCGTGAGCCACCGCGCCCAGCCCTGAATAATTCATTCTTGCTAAGCTTCATGTTGACTCTATATATCATCTAAGAAAGTATTGTTTTGTGGTCCAAACCTGTTGCCGTGGTTAGTAAGGCTTTCTTAGGTGTGAAATATTTAGATGAAATTTTCTCTTTTAAAGTTCTGTATAGGGTTAGGGTGTTGGAAAATGCTATATTAATAAATCTGTAGTGTTTTGTGTTTATAGGTTCAGAACCAGAGTAACTGGATTGAAAGATGGACTGATAGATTAGATATATCAGTCTAATTTATCATGACTGATAGATCTGGTTAAGTTGTGTACTAAAGGATTAGGAGAGCCCTTCCTGTCACAAAAGTGCCACTAAAACAGCCTAAGGAGAAAAATGGCTTGCTTTTCTAAACTTCAGATGTATCTGGGCTCTAATCATATAGACAGGCTTCTGATAGATTGCAACTGTAAGTAGAAACCTACATATAGTTAAAATCCTGGTCTTTCTTGGTAAACAGATTTAAAATGTCTGATGTAAAACATGCCACAGGAGAATTCAGGGATTTGAGTTTCCCTGAATAGCATATATATGATGCATCAAATGGGTTATTACTATTTTTTACCATTTCCACTTACATAATGAAAAACAATTCATTTTAAATATCACATTATTATTTTGTAAGTCATGGAAAAGGGCAATTGAAGTTTTCATTATGAAGTTTTCCCAATAAACCAGGAATTCTAAACTTGAAAAAAAAAAATAGAATTAGCCAGGTATGGTTGCACAGGCCTGTAATCCCAGCTACCCGGGAGGCTGAGGCAGGAGAATCACCTGAACCTGAGAGGCAGAGGCTTCAGTGAGCCGAGGCCACACCACTGCACTCCGGCCTTGGTGACAGAGACTCTGCCTCGAAAGATAAAAATAATAATGAAAGTAATATTGGGATTATACTGTACATTCTTTCTTACATGTATGGTGAATATATTTTGACAATAAATATCTTTACATCAGTTAAAATAACCACCTCATATTTTGTTTTATGGAATATAATATTATTTTGTTGTATGAAGTCAAATATTAGATTGAACCATATATCTGACCATTTTTTACCTATAAAAATAGCAGTTACCTGTAGTCCCAGCTACTTAGGAGGCTGAGGCAGGAGAATCCCTTGAGCACAGGAGTTCAAGGCTACAGTGAGCTATATAATTATTCTTTTGTTGTGGGACATTTTGGTCATTTCTAAATTTTCACCACTGTTGTGATAAACCTCTTTTAGCGAATCTTTTTTGTCTTTTTTATTGACATATAACTTTATCATTTCCTTAGAATTCCCAGAATTAGAATTGGTGAGTCAAAGAATAGATACTCTTTTTTTTTTTTTTTTTTTTGAGACAGAGTCTCGCTCTGTCACCCAGGCTGGAGGGCAGTGGCATGATCTTGGCTCACTGCAACCTCCGCCTCCTGGGTTCAAGTGATTATCCTGCCTCAGCCTCCCAAGTAGCTGAGATTAAAGGCACCTGCCACCACGCCCAGCTAATTTTTTGTATTTTTAGTAGAGATGGGGCTTCACCATGTTGGCCAGGCTGGTCTTGGACTCCTCACCTCAAGTGATCTGCCCACCTTGGCCTCCCAAAGTGCCGGGATGACAGGCGTGAGCCACTGTACCCTGCCAGGAGGTGACATTTGAACAGAGCCTTGAAGATGCTGTGTAGAAAGTCTGACAGGTGGCCAGGTGTAGTGGCTCACGCCTGTCATCCCAGCACTTTGGGAGGCCAAGGTGAGAGGATCACTTGAGGCTAGAAGTTTGAGGCCAGCCTGGGCAGCATAGTGAGACCCCGTCTCCTAAAAAAAAAAAAAAATTAGGCCGGGCGCGGTGCCTCACGCCTGTAATCCCAGCATTTTGGGAGGCTGAGGCGGGCAGATCACGAGGTCAGATCGAGACCATCCTGGCTAACATGGTGAAACCCTGTCTGTACTAAAAATACAAAAAATTAGCCGGGCATGGTGGTGGGCGCCTGTGGTCCCAGTTACTCGGGAGGCTAAGGCAGGGGAATGGCGTGAACCCAGGAGGCGGAGCTTGCAGTGAGCGGAGATCGCGCCACTGCACTCCAGCCTAGGTGACAGAGCGAGACTCCGTCTTAAAAAAAAAAAAAAAAAAAAAAATTAGCCCAGCATGGTGGCCCTTGCCTGTGGCCCCAGCTGCTCGGGAGGCTGAGGTGGGAGGATCACTTGAGGCCAGGGGTTTGAGGCTGCAATGAGCCACGACTGTGCCACTGCACTCCAGCCGGAGTGACAGAGCAAGACCCTGCCTCAAAAGAAAAAAAAAGTTTGATAGGGCATGTGGAACAAGAGACAGGACCTGAGGGAAGAGCATGAATGAAGGTATTGAAGAGTAGAGGGACACTGTGTGTTGGGAACTGAGTGGTGTGGACTGCACAGTGGTGGGAGGAAGGGAAGAGGAGAGTTTCCAAAAAATAGTTGGGACCAGACTGGGAAAGGCCTTGAATGCCTTCCCAAGGAGTTAGGAATTTATTCCACACCTGGTGCCCATGAAGGAAGCAGATTGCTTCAAGGTTAAGCTCAGGCTTTGGAGACAGACTCTCCAGGTTTGGATTCAGGCCCTGTCACTTATTTGCCATGGGGCTGAGTTCACCCAGCCTCAGTTTCTTCATCTGTAAAATAGGAGTGATAATCACAGGATTGTTGTGGGGTTTCAATGAGAGAATGCGTGTAAAATGTTTCGTACAATTACTGCCACTTATTTCTCAATAATTGCTGGCTTTGGTCATTAATAAAAGAGGGAAACAACATTATCAGATCTGTATTTAGAAGGAGTCTGGCAGATAGGGACAGATTTGGGCCAAAATCTCAAGCCAGTATTTTTCAAGGGTACACTAAACCTTGGTACATATCTAATTATAATACATTTTTTAAAAGGGTTAAATGAGTACAATTGAAACGGCAGAGTTCTTTTTTTTTGTTTGTTTGTTTTGAGACAGAGTCTAACTCTGTTGCCTAGGCTGGAGTACAACGGCACGGTCCTGGCTCACTGAAACCTCCGCCTCCCAAGTTCAAGCAATTATTCTGCCTCAACCTCCCAAGTAGCTAGGACTACAGGCACGTGCCACCACACCTGGCTAATCTTTGTATTTTTAGTAGAGATGGGGTTTCACCATGTTGGCCAGGCTGGTTTCGAACTCCTGACCTCGTGATCCACCCACCTTGGCCTCCCAAAGTGCTGGGATTACAGGCATGAGCCACCATGCCCAGCCAGTTGTTTTTTTAGGAAAGTCATTGTAGTACACATGGCTAGCCACACATGGCAGGCGTGCTGGCACCCAGAGAAAGAGAAAGCCAAAGCTGTCCATCTTGCAGACCGACAGGAGGGAGCCAGGACACAGCTGGGCTTGCTCGTGCCCAGAGAGAAAGAGTTAAGCTGCTTAACCTGAAGGCAAGGGAGAGTCGGCTGCACAGCTGTGTTGGGGGGCAGCTGGCTCAAGCAGCTGAGACAGGGCTAATAGTGTTAAGAGTAAGCTGCTAATAAGAGAGCTAGTGTAAGAAAGCTGTTAATGAGAGCTGCTGCTGAATAAAACTATCTTTCACCTGCCTACAGCCCCCCCACCCGGAATATTCTTTCTGCTTACCCACCCACTCCCCTCAGACTTCAGCATGGGCAGGACCTGGACCCTGGGATCTGACACACATCTCTACTAAAAATACAAAAATTAGCCAGTATGGTGGCACATGCCTGTAATTCCAGCTACCAGGGTGGCTGAGGCATGATGATCACCTGAACCCAGGAGTCAGAGGTTGCAGTGAGCTAAGACTGTGTCACTGCACTCTAGCCTGGGCAACAGAGCCTGACCCTGTGTCAAGACAAAAAAAACTTAAAGACCATTTGTCCAGTATAAACTCTTTCAAAATATATACTCAAGCATAGAAAAAAAGTCTAGAAATGTCATCAATGGTAATTTCAGGAAAGAATTTTAAGGTGACGTTTTTTGGTTATCTGCATTTTTTTTTCTTTTATTTTTTTGAGATAGGGTCTTGCTGTGTCACCCAGGCTGGAGTGCAGTGATGCGATCAGGGCTCACTGCAGCCTTGACCTCCCAGGCTTAAGCCATCCTCCCACCTCAGTCTCCTGAGTAGCTGGGACTACAGGCGCAAGCCACCACACCTGGCTAATTTTTGCATTCTTGTATTTTTTGCAAAGATGGGGTTTTGCCATGTTGCCCAAGCTGGTCTCAAGCGATCCGCCCACCTTGGCCTCCCAGAGTGCTGGGATTACAAGTGTGACCTATGTGTGCCAGGCCTACGTTTTCTTTTCTGTAATGACCATGACCATGGATTTCATGTACCAACATTTTTCTAGCAATAATATTTACAAAGCATACTATGAAAAATGTTCAGAGAAAAAGAAGAATACACAACTGTAAAAATCATATATAACTAGTTTTCTTTTTGTTTGTTTTTAAAGCCAAAAAAGAAACAAAGTATAGATTGTCCAGGAAGATAGTTACTTCCACTTTGTGTTTCTCTGGTGAACTCATTAGGAACTCTAAAAAGTTCCAGGAGGGCTGGGCATGGTGGCTCATGCCTGTAATCCCAGCACTTTGGGAGGCCGAGGTGGGCAGATCACGAGGTCAGGAGATTGAGACCATCCTGGCTAACACGGTGAAACCCTGTCTCTACTAAAAATACAAAAAATTACCCAGGCATGGTGGCAGGCGCCTGTAATCCCAGGTACTCAGGAGGCTGAGGCAGGAGAATCGCTTGAACCCGGGAGGCAGAGGTTGCAGTGAGCCAAAATCGTGCCACTGCATTCCAGCCTGGGCGAGAGTGAGACTCTGCCTCAAAAAAAAAAAAAAAAAAAAATGCAGAAGTAGAATCATGGGGTCAAAGTACCCTTGCTTTAACTTCTGGTTCAGATAATTTTAACAACTTACATTGTCACCAGCAAGGTCTTTGACTATATGAGCAAGTCTCACGTTAAAGCATTTCTCATTTGACATTAGCTGCCCAGCTTTCCGCTGATACGTTGACTCCAGGAGGCTCCTTGAGTTCTGAGTGTTTGGCTGGCCTCTGGTGGCCCCATTATTATTTTCTGCCAGGTGAAGGTCAGTCACCTGCACACAGATCTCATCACTCATGATATGCTGCAGCTGGAATCAAAGGCAAGCTGTTAGTGAACACAAAACATTTCTCCATTACACAGTCAACGTTCCTTTGACTCAACTCAAAAAAGGTTTTGTTTTTTTTTTGGCTGGCAATTTTAGAAAATTCATCACACAAACCACTGTATCATTTTCTCGGACAATAATCAATCCAAGATTTTCAACCATATCTGTGGTCCATTGTAAAACTTTCATCTCTATTTAAAATAAAAATCATAGAGAACTCAGGTTAATGTGCTGTTTAAAATTCTAAGGATCTTTAAATAATTTTCCATGGGTCATATTTTTATTGCATTTTAAAATCATTTACAATTTGCTTTCATCCATATTCTCTCTCATTTGATCCTCACAACTGCCCTGGGAAGCAGGTTGGAGAGAGAGTTGGGCCTGTTAGGAGAGAAATTTACACAGTGCATAAGAAAGCTCACTGTGAGCTGGGGTGAGGAGGGGAGACTTGGAGAATCGTGAAGCAATATCTATGTCAAGATTCCCAGCCCAACAGCAAAGCCTGAAACTCATTAGGTATTTAAGAAATAGCTGCTGAGTTATTGCCTAGAGGTGCTCAGCTGAAGAAGGAGGGTTGGGACTAACAGTCAAGCTTCCTAACTCCTACCCCAATACTTTTCCAAACACACCACCTATTTTTCCATATCTGATAGAAAGTAAAGTGCTTAAGTTGTACATAATATTAACTCACTTTCCCTACAGGCCAATCATGATTGACTATCAGTAGCTTTTGTGGCAATCTTAGGAAACTAATGACTAGAAAGCTGAACCTTTCAGAGTTCCCATTCTCATGGCATATGCTATTTCTATTTTGAAATAAAAATCCTTCCAAATGAAACTTTACCCATCAAAATCACAGAGAAGTGAAAAATAGATACAAGAAGAAAGCAGAACGTTAACTTAAATATCGATTTGTCTGTTTCGCTTTAAAATTGTCATAACCACCAAGCCATTCTATTTTTAGGAAGCTACATTCTTTTTGAAGTGTTAGGAACTATGATAACTATTTCTTCTTAATTATAAGTCCTAAATGACCAGTATGTGTATTAGTAGATAACTGGACACAGAGCAAGGTCAGAAGGGTGACTGAGTGTGGCAGAAAGGGCAGTATCCCCAGCAACTACAGATGGATAAATGACAATGAGTCCAGATAATGGATTCTGATACAACCATTCAGATAATGCTTATGAGTACTTGATAACAGGGAAAAGCTTAAGATACAGTGTTTTAGAGAGAAAAAAGGCAAGTTGGAAAAAAATGTATGGAAAGCATGACTTCAGTCATGCATAGAGATGCTTGCTTCTACTTTAAACTTTTTTTTTTTTTTTTTTTTTGAGACAGGGTCTTGCTCTGTCGCCCAGGCTGGAGTGCAGTGGCATGGTGATCTCGACTGACTGCAGCCTCAACTTCTTGGGCTCAAGCAAGCCTCTCACCTCAACCTCCTAAGTAGCTGGGACTACAGGCATGTGCCACCATGCCCCGCTAATTTTTTGTATTCTTAGTAGAGATGGGGTTTTGCCATGTTGCCCAGTCTGGTCTCAAATTCCTGAGTTTAAGTAATCCGGCTGCCTCGGCCTCCTAAAGTGCTGGGATTACAGGCGTGAGCCACCGCCTCTACTTTATACTTTCTTGTTGAAGTAGACTGTACTACTGATTCCCTACCCACACCCTCTTTTTGGATATCCAGCTCCTCCTCGAGTCTCTGGAAAGGGCAGCACTACAAATCCAGGGACAACTAGGGAACTCCCACCCCCACTGCTAGGCAGATCAGAATCTTTATCCTGCTAATTGGAAATGACACAGAGAGTGTTCGATAGATTTTTTGCAGAGGAGCATCTGTATGGAAAGGTCCAGTAACACTGGGACCAGGGGTACTGCCAGGGCAAGCCAAAGTCTCAGCGGCTGGAGGAGCCTGGAGCACGTGCCGAACGTCCATCTGCAAAGCAAAGCACAAGCATGGAGCAGAAGTCCAGAGTGAAGGCATGCAGGAGAGGAAAATCACCTCCCAGCACAGTCCTTCCATGGTGTGGTCATATATTGAGTTCTGTACTTAGATGTCTGTGAGATTGCCTATTGTATTCTTAATACAGATCCCTCTTAAGCCAGCCTAGAATAGGTTAAGATAAATGTAATGACTTGACTTGGCTGGAGTGCAGCGGCATGATCATGGCTCACGGCAGCCTCAACTTCTGGGCTCAGGTGATCCTCCCACTTCAGCCTCCTGAGTAGCTGGGACTATGGGCATGAGCCACCATGCCTAGCTAATTTTTTGTATTTTTTCTCATAAAAATATTATGTTTTTCAGAAGAAATATTATACATAATACATTGAAAATCACTAATTGCTTTTTCTTCATCTTTTTTTCTGTGAATGTGTAGGTGTTTGAGTCTCTTGTATTTCTTCTTTTACACAGGATATGGGCTGTTTGAAAACTATTTTGTTATCTTCATCATCATTGTTCATTTCAGCCACTTCAGATTTTCGTCTCTCCAAAAATGTTGAGGTACAAACCGGTGTGGGGCCCTGGCTATCCACAGTCTTCTCAGGAGTGTCAGGAGTGCCTAAAACCTTTCGCTGCTTCTTATGTAAAACCTGGCCTTTTGTTTTTTGTTTGTTTGTTTGTTTGTTTGTTTTCAGATAGACTTTCGCTCTTGTTGCCCAGGCTGGAGTGCAATGGCACGATCTCGGCTCACTGCAACCTCTGCCTCCCAGGTTCGATCAATTCTCCTGCCTCAGCCTCCCGAGTAGCTGGGATTAAAGGTGCCCAACACCATGCCTGGCTAATTTTTGTATTTTTTAGTAGAAACAGGGTTTCACCATGTTGGCCAGGCTGGTCTCGAACTCCTGACCTCAGGTGATCCGCCCGCATCGGCCTCCCAAAGTGCTGGGATTGCAGGCGTGAGCCACCGTGCCCGGCAAACCTGGCCCTTTGTAGACGTCTGATGATTCGTTTTTGAAATACTTTCTGTTTTCTGTAAAATCAAAGAAGGAAAATCATAATCAATTCCTTTTTAAGCTAATTTCTTCTTGAGTAATCTTTCTTTTTAAATCGCCCCTCCACCCACAGCTTTTGTGTAAGTGCCGATTCTGATTATACCGTTTCACTGATGGATATGATGCCTGCTTAAACGGAATATCCCAGTCTTTAAAGAGTTCTTTCTGTACTTTTTCAGGTGTCATAAAATGACACTCCCAGAGTCTTTCGCCAAACAGGTAGTTGTTCATTGTTTCAGCAACTATCTTGGCAACATCCTCAGACTCATACTCCACACATGCATAGCCTTTGCTATTTCCAGTCCTTTTCTGTCTGGATAGTCTGAAGCTTGTAACAGTGCCACACTGGGAGGAATATGAAAGAATCTGGGTTTCGTTCAGTAGGTTATGTAGGTGGCACACGTAGACCACTCCAGGAGTAAGTTGTTCTTGTTTTTCTCGCTGGGTTATGCGCAGAACCTGTGCCACCTCCTTCTGAAACCCACATCTTTCTGTGGGTTCAGCGACAGGATTGGCCCAGCCGGGCCGGAAAAGGCCGCCATGCCAAAAGCGGCTGACACCAACTCCACGGGGCGCTCCCGGAAACGCCCAATTTTTTGTATTTTTAATACAAACAGGGTTTCGCCATGTTGCCCAGGCAGGTCTAGAACTCCTGGACTCGAGCGATCTGCCTGCCCTGACTCCCAAATTGCTGTGATTATAGGCGTGAGCCACCGCACTCAGCCTTGACTTTGAAATATATGTTGTGGGACTGGCGCGGTGGCTCACGCCTGTAATCCCAGCACTGTGGGAGGCCAAGGCGGGCGGATCACGAGGTCAGGAGATCGAGACCATCCTGGCTAACACGGTGAAACCCTGTCTTTACTAAAAAATACAAAAAATTAGCCGGGCGTGGTGGCGGGCGCCTGTAGTCCCAGCTACTCGGGAGGCTGAGGCAGGAGAATGGCGTGAACCCGGAAGGCGGAGCTTGCAGTGAGCCGCGATCGCGCCATTGCACTCCAGCCTGGGCAACAGAGCGAGACTCTGTCTCAAAAAAAAAAAAAAAAAAAAAAGAAAGAAATATGTGTTGTACATCCAGTCAGCAGTGAACTCTGGGGGAACACTAAAGATGAGGACAATGAGAGAAGAGATACCTCCAATTAAAGGAGTTAAGAAGAGATGCTTGAACTTATGTTTTAAAAAGTCACTGCAGGCTGGGCACAGTGGCTTATGCCTGTAGTCACATCACTTTGGGAGGCCGAAGTGGGCGAACCGCTTGAGCCTAGAAGTTTGAGACCAGCCTGGGCAACATGGAAAAGCCCCATCTGTACAAAAAATATAATAAATTGGCAGGGCACAGTGGTGCCTGTGGATGCAGCTGCTGGGGAGGCTGAGGTGGGAGGTTGAGGCTGCAGTGAGCTGAGATCCACCACTCCACTCCAGCTTGGGCAACAGAGTAAGACCATGTTTGGAAAAAAAAAAAAAAAAAAGTCACTGGGGTTTTCTGGATAAAACGTCTGTTTCCATAAGAAAAAAAAAAAAAAAAAGAAAAGAAAAAAAGGGCGGAGACAGCATGTATTATTGTTTCAAAATCATAACCAGATGCTTAGAGTAAATAATTATATCTATTGTTTCAAAAACCAATCTAAGGATTATTAAAAGTTAGTTTTATTGGATTTTTTTTTAAGCTGCACTGATTCCCTCAGGTCTGTCACTTCCAAGTCCATGTTTTACTACTTTGTAACCCTATTTGGAAGGAAAACTGCAACTAAGACTATGATCTATCCTGAGATGAAAAGTTTCACACATATACAGCACACACACCCCCCACCACAGTATGATGACACAGTGCCACCCTTAGGCAAAAGGGTACCACTGACAGCAAATGCATTTTTTTCTTTATTTCATCTAATTTTTTTTTCTTTATTTCTTCTAAAAGCAGCAAATGCATTTAACATTTTATTGAGATTCTCAACAGCTGCCATTTGGTTTATATAGCAAATTGTTTCTAAAGTAACTTTTTTTCTATTTTTGATATTTTTATGAAAATTATGTTCTTCAGTTTTAAAGCCCTGTCCCTCTCCCAAAGAAAGATTAATAACTACCTACTAAGTAATGAGTATTCGGGAAAATAACAAAAGCAAAAACAGCTTTTAAACACTTGTGAAACAAGGGTAAGGGTCCAAAGTCAAGACCTTCTGGGCCCATTGGAGGTGCTAGGCTTGCCTGGTGACACTATCAGCACTTCCCCATCCACAACATCCTCAACAGCTGGGAGCCCTGTGCGGACCCCGGTGTCGGGGGGCGGGGAGGGGGGCTTCCTGTTCCACAGGCTCCACTCTCTTTTTCCTCTCCACCACTGCTGTTGGGCCTCCCCTCCAAATCTGCCTAACAAAGGCAGCAGGATCTTTAATACTGTTCAGCTTTGTAAATGAAGACAGGATACTCTAGAAAGTTGGGAGATTCCCTGGTCCAGTCTGGGAGAGGAAAAAATATGCAATGTAGCATGGATGGTTTCACTTTCTTGTCCACTCAGCCACATGCTCATACTTATTAAATTAATGTATCAGATGCTTCCAAAGTCCTGACATGTAGCACAAAAGTTGCTTGTAAAAAATAAGTTGCAGGCCGGGCGCAGTGTCTCATGCCTGTAATCCCAGCACTTTGGGAGGCCAAGGTGGGTGGATCACATGAGGTCGGGAGTTTGAGACCAGCCTGGCCAACCTGGAGAAACCCTGTATCTACTTAAAAAATACAAAATTAGCCAGGCATGGTGGCACATGCCTGTAATCCCAGCTACTCGGGAGGCTGAGGCAGGAGAATCACTTGAACCTGGGAGGCAGAGGTTGCAGTGAGCCGAGATAGCGCCATTGCACTCCAGCCTGGGCAAAAATAGCGAAACTCCGTATCAAAAAAAAAAAAAAAAAGTTAAGTTGCAAAATGATGAAAATTCAGGCTCCTGATGACAAAGCTAGTTCTGATAAGTAGTTACTTTGACATATACGGCAGCTTCGCCTGTAAGTCCTGTGTTCTGAGGGTTTCATTTAGGCCACAGGAAGTTGGAATCCAAGTTTCAAAGGCTCTCTGCTGACAAAATGTGCTATTTCCATCAATGGTCTTCTACTCAGTAATGAAAGGAACAAACTACCAAAACATGTCGTGTCATGGATCAACCTCAAAAACATTAGCTAAGTAAAAAAGCCAGACACGAGACCACATATTGTATAATTCCGTTGATTTGAAATGTCCAGAAAAGACAAATTTATAGAGACAGAAATGGGCTGATTTACCTCAAGAGGCAGGGATTCCGGCTCTCTAGACTGCATGTGATACATACATGAGAAAAAATAGGGAAAATAAAAAAATTTAAATATAAATAAATGAAAATAATACTTCTCCCTGATCATAAAGAAAATCACATTCTTAGAGGCCGGGCATGGTGGCTCATGCCTGTAATCCCAGCACTTTGGAAGGTCGAAGTGGGTGGATCATGAGGTCAGGAGTTCGAGACCAGCCTGTCCATTATAGTGAAACCCCGTCTCTACTAAAAATACGAAAATTAGCCGGGCGTGGTGGTGCATGCCTATAATCCTAGCTACTCAGGAGGCTGAGGCAGGAGAATTGCTTGAATCCAGGAGGTGGAGGTTGCAGTGAGCTGAGATCGCGCCACTGCACCCCAGCCTGGGTGACAGACCGAGACTCTGTCTCAAAAAAAAAAAAAAAAAAAGAAAGTCACATTGTTTTGTAATAATTTGGAAGACAAAATATGAAGAAAAGTCTAATTTTGCCACTCAAAACATTCTGATTTGTTGCTTTTTATACTTTTTTATGCATATAAACATTTTTAAAAGTAGAATCATAACATATAGTCTTTTGTCACTATGTTTTGGGCAGTAAATTTCTATGGCAGTAAATATATCCTTGGCATCATCATTTTTAATAGTTGGATGTATATTAAGTTAATCATTGTCACCCTAGAAGTAAATTTTCTTATATATACATTTTAATGGACTCGAGCAAGCATTTTTGGACTGAATTTATAGAAGTAGAATTTCTGGAGGACAATAACATAAAACAGTTCTAGTGTTTTTAATAAAAATTTTCAAATTATACTGCAGGAAAATTGGTTCAGTTTATACTCCCACCAACAGAGACAGAGCTCCAGTTTCCCCCTTCCATTTGTCCTCTTTGCTAGTCTTTAAGCAGAAAATCTCATTGTTTTCATTACATTTCTTTAGCTTCTAGTGCTTTTGAATCTTTTTTACATGCTTATTGGCCATTTTTATTCCTGTGGGAAGTGTCTGTTTCTCCATTGTCTATTTTCTGGCCAAACTCCAAAGTCATATTTCACTTAATTTTTATCCTGCTGATTGAAAGCATTTTAACTTAGTGATTTTAATGTAAACAGGAACAGGACAGACTTTAATTGTCTAAGTCTTGCCCTGTCACCCAGGCTGGAGTACAGTGGCATGATCATAGCTACCGCAGCCTCGAACTCCTGGGCTCAAGCGATTTTCCTACATCAGCCTCCCAAGTAGATAGGACTACAGGTGTGTGCCACCACACCCAGCTAATTTTTAAAATTTTTTGTAGAGTTGTGAATTCGCTATGCTGCCCAGGCTGGTCTTGAACTCCTGACTTCAAGTAATCCTCCCACCTTGGCTTGCCAATGTGCTGGGATTACGGCATGAACTAGTGCTCCCAGCCAAGAGCTCACTTTTGTTTGCTAGTGGTGTTCTTGGTATCCTTTCATATTTGAGGCTTTGGTGCTAGTGCTGAAGTATTACACTCACCATCCGAGGTTTACAGGACTTTTGTTTTAATATTGAACAGATGGAACTGTTCAGTTCTGCATCTTTGCAGGTATACAAAATGTGCCTATCAGGAGTCTGCTTTATATTCATTGAAAGCAAGAAGTAATACAGTAAAATTTTGCCTGGCTGGAGGATTTGAAAGAATGGCATATTCTGGTTTAATTCTATTAACTTGGAAGTATGACAGTGAAAAAAAATCAAAACTTAAATTTCCTGTTGAATGCAATTTGAAAATATAGCCAATGATTCCACTTTTCTTCTCTAGTAAGGTTGGACATTCTGATCTACTTGGTGTTTTATTATAGAACTCCTAGTGTGCCTGAGAGTTACATTGTAAAGATACTTTTTTAAAACTTGAGATATAAGAGGATGTAAATGGTTTTGTATGAGATCAGGCTGGATGAGAACTGACACTTGTAAATATACATTTTAGACTAAATCTCTGATTGCCACTTATTTTCTTATTGAACTCATAAAAATAAAACACATTGGATGGAGGGTGGGAGTAGAAAGGAGATTCATGTGTCTTAATTGCATGTCATTGTTTCATATCAAGACAGAACATATAGTATCCCTGGCTTTGGACCTAGAGAAGGAAACACATTTTTCTACCTGCTGTATGCCAGAGGTTCTTGAACACCCTGAGGGATGACTGCAGCACAGATTGCTGAGCCCTAAGCCAGAGTTTCTGATGCACCAGGTCCAGGGTGGGGCCTGATAATTTGCACTTATAAAAAGTTCTCAGGTGCTGCTGGTGCTGCTAGTCCAGAGACTACATTACTGAGAACCACTCTTGTCTATTAACTGTAAATTGTAGAACTCTAGAAAAAAGCTTAGTTTGGTCTGGGATAAGAAGCACACAGGTTATGGAGAAAATCATGAAACATTCAACCCTTGATCCCAGCCTAGTGTGGAATTCAGGTAACAAGCAGTACACAGTGACATAACACAATTCTTGGTTTTCATGATTGCAAGTCATAGCTAAGCATCAAGTGAGAAATTCAGTTTCATTTGCAAGGCTTAGAGAAGCCAGGTGATTCTAGAAAAATGGGCCTTGTATTTGTTTTAAACCAGTAAAGAGCTTTAAGTGCTTATTAAATTGAAAGCTTTCTATTCTTATTTTGTATTTTATTTTATTTCTTTTGAGATGGAGTCTTGCTCTGTCACCCAGGCTGGAATGCAGTGGCGTGAGCTTGGCTCACTGCAACCTCCGTCTCCTGGGTTCAAGTGATTCTCCCGCCTCAGCCTCCCAAATGGCTGGGATTACAGGCACCCACCACCATGCCTGGCTAGCTTTTGTATTTTTAGTAGAGACGGGGTTTCTTCATGTTGGCCAGGCTGTTCTCGAACTCCTGACCTCAGGTGATCCACCTGCCTTGGCCTCCCGAAGTGCTGGGATTACAGGCGTAAGCCACCGCACCCAGCCCAAAAGCTTTGTGTTTTTCAAGATATTTGACATGTTTCTTGTTTTAAAAAAAAAATCTTAATAATGTAGGAGAATAAAAGAAACGTTTTTCCAAAAAAAGAGAAATCATTGTGATTATTTTATCTTATTGGAATGTTGGATACTATAGCCTGCTTCATTAATCATCAAGCATGCTATGGATTTTCCATTTTTATAGGATCTGTATCTCAGTTAAGGTAATACTGGTAATTATTGTACTCCATTTGAAGATGAAAAATATAGGCCAAAATTATAGACCTTGCATAGAAGCTGGATAATGGAGACAGCTCTGGAGGAACACGTAGATACACACACACAGACACACATATATATAAAGAATACACACATACATTTTTTAAAGTTTATTTTTTACAGTTTTAAAGGTTTTAAAGCAAAAGCCGGCCCCTCCCCTCTGAGTGGGCGGCCCCTCCCTCTCTCTGAGTGGTCGGGTACAGCGGTTGCATGGGCAGCTTTCCTTGTGAACCACAGGTCCTTCTGGACACGGTGCTACCTGGCCACGCCTCCTTTCCCTTTCATATTTCTCATTGACCAATGGGCTTGGAGCATTAAGGCCACGCCCCTATTCTGCATTCTAGTGGGGCCCCGGTTATGCCTCTTCTGGCTCAGTTGCACAGCTGCCTGGTAGGTGACTGGAGGCATTCATCAGTGCTCACTGGGATTTCACTGATGTGGCCCAACCCCGCCTCCCTCCACACCCCATGATGTCAGAAAAAACACGACAGGGCAAATGGGCCGCAGCCAGGAAAAAGGTAAAACGCACCAGGTCATGGCCCCCAACCCAGCCACAGATCCCCTCCGACAACAAGACCGTTGCCGGAGTCCATACCACCCCTGAGGCACACTGGACTGGGCCCCCCAACCCCAGCCCTCCTCCCTAGCCCGCCAGGCCTTTGTTTCCCCACCTGTAAAATGGGGCAGTGTAGCCCTCACATGAAATGGTACTTCTAAGGCACCTGTGAGCCGGAGCCCTGCTCTGATGGCTGTGGGAGAGAGGGGATGATTTTTCTAACCTCCCTCCACCCTTCCCAGTGCTATGGGAGGCAGACACCAAGTTCTGGGGTCTCCAGTTGCAGCGGGTGGCTGCTGATTGCTTCTCTCTGTCCAGAACGAGAACAAGAGCGCACTGCAGTTGGAGCAGCAAGTAAAGGAGCTGCAGGAGAAGCTGGGCTAGCTGAAGGGGACGGTAACCTCCGACCCGTCCAAGAAGGTCTGGGAGGCGGGCACCAGCCTCTGGGGAGGGGAGGTGCCAGGCCAGAGGCAGCTGCAGCCTGGGGGCAGGTGACCCCAGCACCCTCCAGGGCAGTCCTATGACTGTTTCTTGCTTCCTGCCCTCTGACTTTTAGAGGTGGGTAGCCCTGGCTCCTCCCAGGTCTGGACATCATCATCCCAGCTAGAGGCATGGAGCCCTCCAATCACAGAGGAAGAGACAGTGGCATAAGAGGCTCCTTATACCAGGTGCAGTGGCTCACACTTGTAATCCCAGCATTTTGGGAGGCTGAGGCAGGAGAATCACTTGAGATCAGGAGTTTGAGACCAGCCTGGCCAAAATGGCAAAACCTTATCTCTACAAAATTACAAAAAAAAAAAAAAAAAAAAATTAGCCGGGCATGGTGGTGCATGCCTGTAATCCCAGCTACTCAGGAGGCTGAGACATGAGAATCACTTGAGCCCAGGAGGTGGAGGTTGCAGTGAGCTGAGATCGCACCACTGCACTCCAGCCTGGGACACAGAGTGACACTGTCCCAAAACAAAATATGAAAAAAACCAAAACGACTCCTTAGATTCAAACTGGATTCCGGCCTCGGTTCCACTGGTCATCATTCAACTACTTTCCATCTCTAAGTCTCTGTTTCTTTAACTTCAAAAGGAAGTGAGCTTTTTCTTCGCAGAGGTGCCGAGGGTTAAATGAGATAATACGTGGAAACATTAGGCATGTAGCACACTTAGCAGATGGTGGTTGGCTCCCTCTGCTTTTCCACCAGTCTGTGGCCTACAGTTTAAATGGCTGGAAGAAGAACGTGAGATTTGAGGCTGGGGAAGGAGGCATGGGGTTCTAGGCAAGGGAGGCAGTCTCTTAGGCCTGGAGCAAGGGGCCAGGGGCCTGGGCAGGCCACAGAGCCCCACAGTGCCCTCACTACCCTATTAATGGGCCAGGAATCTGGAAGCCAGCCACCAGCTGCCCTCATGCCCAGGGACTTCCAGCAGGTGGAGCTGAAGAGCCAAGAGGCTCAGAGTCTGCAGCAGCAGCGAGGCCAGTACCTGGGTCACCTGAAGCAGTACGTGGCCACTTATCAGCAGCAGGTGGCAGCCTATCAGCAGCTGACCTCTGAGAAGGAGGCGCTGCACAGGCAGTTACTGCTGCAGACCCGGCTCATTGGACCAGCTGCAGCAGCAGGAAGCTCAGGGCAAAGCAGTGGCTAAGATGGCCCGCCAAAAGTTGCAGGAGACCCAGGGGAGGGAGTTGCTGAGGACGGGGCCCCAAGAGGGACAACCTGGCAACCTCTGTGCCTTCTCACCCTCTTTCCTGGCATCTCAGGAGCACCTGGAAGCTACCAGCCAGCAGAACCAGCAACTACAGGCCCAGTTGAGCCTCATGGCTCTCCCTGGGGAAGGTACGGGACACCACTCAGAGGAAGAGGAGAGAGCCCCAGGAGGAAAGGGGGACTGTTAGCACTGTAGGATTGAGGAGATGGAAGAGACCTTTAAGACAGCTGGCCATTATGCTGACTGGGTGTCTGCACTAAGTTTGGCATCAATATGGTGACCTCCTGGGAGCGGGGGACCACCAGGTTGCCTAAGGATGGGAGAACTGGCCCAGGTCAGAAATGGAGCAGGTCAGAATTCCTGCACCAATCGGTAGTGGGACTGTGCCTGGGCAATATAGCAAGATCTTGGTTCTTAAAAGTAAAAATAAAGAACAGCTCATTCCCCTCTGGGGAGGGGCTGGCTCAAGGTTACACAGTGAGTGTGGGGGCAGAGGTGAGCCCACAGTACCTCCCTTGTTGGGTTGTCTGAGGACCCCTCTGGCCACCCCCCCACAGGAGATGGAGGAGGAGGCGCCTCAGCCCATGCCGAACATCCCAGGGGACCTGGAGAGCCGGGAGACGGTGGTGAGCCTGACTTGCCCTGCCCCCACTTTGCCACCTTCCTCTGTGGTCCCTCCCAGACCCCCTTATGTTCTTGGTTTCCCCGCTTTCTGATTTCTGTGGACTTTCACTCCTTCCGGGAGCCAGTGATCAGACACCATTTCACCTGTGACCAACAGGTGCACTCTCTGAGGCCCCAAGGGAAGGGGCTGCGCTCCACCTCCCTGCCCCAGTTGTTCTGTGTATGCCCCTACAAGAACACTCACCTCTTGCCTTCAGGTGGCATTTTTCAACTCCGCTGGAACCAGTGCCCAGGAGGAGCAAAGGATGTGCTGCCAGCCCCTGGCTCACCCAGTGGCCTCGTCCCAGAAGAAGCCAGAAGCAGCAGCCCCAGCCCCAGGGACTGGGGGTGAGTCTGTGTGTGGGGGGACCCACCGGGCCCTGCAGGGGGCCAAGGAGAAGTTGTAGATGAGTAGGTCCTGGCATAGGCCAAGAAGGGTGGGGGTGGGGCAAGGCAGGTGGCTCCTGAGACGTGATCCCATTATTTTGGCTCCAGAGCGACTTTATGGACCTCCTGAAGGAGAAGGTGGACCTGAGGGAGTGGGTGGAGAAACTAAAGCTTCAATTCATCCACCTCTCGGGAAAGACAGACACCATGAGTGAGCGGGAGGCCAGGGCACGGCAGGGGGAGCTGCAGGGCCGTCGGAGGGGCTCCAGCATCTGAGCCATGTCCTCCCGCAGGAAAGTACATCACCCCATATGGGAGCCAGGGGACAGTGCCAAAGATGCGGCACCGGGAGGAGGAGGAGATCGTCAGGCTGGCCCAGGACCGGGAGGAGATGAAGGTAGGGTGTGCAACATCTCTGTGGGGGCGGGGGTGGGGGTGAACGTGGGTGCCGGCACCAGTATGGCAGCTGAGCACCCCTCCCTCCAGGTGAACCTGCTGGAGATGCAGGGGCAGGTGTTGCGGCTTGTGAGAGACCACAATGAGGGACATGGCAAGTTCCTGGCCACTGCCCAGAACCCTGCTGATGAGCCCACTCTAGGAGCCCCAGCCCCCCAAGAGCTTGTGTGTGCTGACAAGCAGGATGGCCAGTAGAACCTTCAGGCAGGGTGAGCAGGCAGGAGCAGGGGAGGCTCGCATGGCGCTCCGATCCCCTCCTCCCTCTCTCCGAAGATCTTTGTGAGGTGAGCCTCACTGACAGCGTGGAGCCCGCACCAGGAGAGGCCAGGGAGGGTTCTCCCCACGACAACCCCACTGCACAGCAGATCATGCAGCTGCTTCCTGTAACGCAGGACTCCCCAGGAGCACCCAGGCTTGGGCAGCAATCTCTGCATGCCTTTCTTTTCGAGCTGCCGAGAACAGGGAGATAAACACCACCATCATCTAAGAGCTGGTCAAGAAATTAAAAAAAAAAAAAAGTTAAGGGGTTAATCTCCTACACAATTCATTTACTTCATTTGAATGTTAGAGCCACTCATGTTTATTTGTGTTTCTAATTTATAGTTTAAATTTTATTTGTAAAAAGTTAAAGGAGAGTGGGTCTTTTCCTCATGTTCACTCTGGCATCCTTTAGCATGTTTCTTTTTTAATTTGATAATTGTAGGTCATTAGCATGCATATCAAGTTTGCCCTTATGTGGTGGGTGTTCAAACACACAAAGACCCACTATTTGCACAAAACTATTCTTCCTGGTTTGGGATAGGCTGCCATGCTTTTTTAATGTTATTGCAGCATGTATATTTATTATGGAATTCAGATAAAATTTGCTTATGTTCTGCTATTATGTTTGATCGAATCCTAATCACAGTGAGCTCTTCATCAGCTCAATATGTGGTTTGCCCTGAAGTGCGCGGTCTATTACTTTGTAATATGCCACTGTGAGTACTGACATTTACAGTTGCTTAAAGGCGGAGCACTGGAAACAGCCTTTCCCCCTTTTTCTGTGTATTGGGGATGGGAGTAATAACATTTTGGGGAGCTTTTTAAATCTCCCAGAAGAGGAAAGTGGCCTGCTCTGGCAGGTATGTGCAGGATAGAGTGTGTTTTATTTGTTTTGGTGCCAAGAATGAGCACTGTACTATGGTAGTTCCCTTAGGATTTGTATGTGTTCTGGGCTTATGAAGATATTGCATCATGAGCTGTGGCAGTTGTACTCTTTTTTGATGACCTAAAAAGGGCTTATTTCTGAGGAATGAAAGGCTCCCATCGTTGATTGTGGATGTGGAAAACCTTTCCTAGCTTAGAGCATTTATATCTATAACACATTTTAAAGTCAGAGTTCATGGTCCCTGTTTTAATCACGTGACTACATGTCCCAGTACACAAAAGGGCACTGGTTGGCATTCTTCTTAATGTATTTAGTAAAGATCATAAGAAATCCTTTAAGAGTTTAGATGTCCCTGAAACAGGCATACAGGCTCTAGTCAGGAATGAATTCGAGTGAAGGAAAGCTATGTGACACCTGGCATTCCTCTCTGTTCACGGAGCTTCTCTGAGGCTAGAAGATTAATTTTACCATCTAGACCTCTCTGGCTCATACCTATTCTTCAACCACATTGGCTACTTTGACATAGGAAATTACTTCTTTTCCTTGAATGGAGAACACTTTAAAAATAATATTATAAATGAATATATGTGAGAGTACTTGGTTGAAAGAAAAAGGAGTTTTAGTAGACAGTATTATTCTATATTTGAAAATCAAGGAGAAGTTTATGCGACTTAAAATGTTTACAAACTGCAGTGCAATCTACTGTTTGTGAATGTCAAAGTCTTATCAGGAAAAGTGTCTGTACAATCACAGAGTCCTACTTCCTCCGAAAGTTCTTTACGAAGAGTGAAATATGTTTTTGTACCTTTCAGTTTCAGTTAGAGGCATATTTTGTGCAATATTTATGTGAATGCGCCTATATATTATGAATGAATTATTTCAGTCATATGTTGCCTAAATCATAACTTGATGATGCTTGGGAAAGAATCAACAGTTAAAACCTCATGAAGTTCTAATGTCTGTATTCCAAAATACATCACATTATTAGGATGTAGGGAGAGATGTATGTGCGCTCCCTGGTGTGGGGATTTGTAGTTACTAGACCGTCTCCATTTGGCATCCTCATGATACTTTTATAAATATGACATTAATAGGAAAGCAGTATTATTTTTCAGACAAAATAACTGATTTGCCTGGATTCACGGAAAAAAATGCAAATATTGGGTCCTTGTGACTTCAACTGACTCTTCCAAATTGTATGAATTTATTAATGTATTAGATAAACCTAGTTTCAGAATGATAAACTGTTAGACCAAATAATGTGGCTAATTAACAGTGGTACGATTTCTAGCCCGAGGGTTTAAAATGGACTTAAGGTCCTGTTGTTGCCTTTTATTTTCTGAACTTGCTGCTTTTGCATTCTTTGAGTTCAGTTTAAAGACAGTTACTTTAAGTCCATTTTAAACCCTCGGGCTAGAAATCGTACCACTGTCAATTAGCCACATTATTTGGTCTAACAGTTTTTCTTTATCATTCTGAAACTGGGTTTATCTGATACATTGATAAATTATTTCAAAGGTATTTTAATAGTTCAAATCACTTCACTTTTACATTGATAAATGTAAATGACTAGGAATGACCTTCGGATAGCGTTTAGCATCTGTAATCAATCTGACAATAATGTGTTCATCAGGTACCTCTGGATTAACTCACATACCGGCATACTTAAGCTGAATGTCTGTCTGGAAATAAATTTACTATATTAACTGAGATACTACTTTTTGTGTAGGTATTTTTGTCATATATTTAAGAAAAAGCTAACAAGGATGGAAATCATATTATAATAACTTAAGTCTTTCTTCAAAGGGCATGCAGTCTTTTGCAATACCTCATTCAGCCAGATATTTGTTCTCTTTCTCATTCAGTATAAGACAGCTTTCAATTTGCTTAGCAGGCAACATTAGAAGGTTAGAGTTCATGGAAACATAGAATTTTAAAATGTGAGTTCAACCGAATAAATTTGAATTTCTGTAGGAGGTAAAGAATCAAAATACTTGTTTATTTAAAGGTTGCAGTATATGATAATCATTTTGAAGTATTTGATTAATACTAATAGGTTTTCCAGAACTGAAAAACTAATGTTAAAACCAAAGCTGATTTCTAGAAAATTTGAAAATGTAAATCAGCCTTATCCAGAATATAGTTTCTCTAAAACTTTCTTAGTCATTTTACAATAGTATAACTATTAAAAAATGTAACTGCTATTTTAATGTTTTGAAATAAATTAAAACATTTTAAAATATGAATACTGTAGCTTAAAAGAAAGAAACTAGGGGAAGGAAAAGTAAAGAAAGAAATGCCAATTCCAGTCCAAAACTTTATTTGCCAAGTTTTCTTATAATGACTTACCAATTTAGGAATTCTTGTAAACAGAATCTATAATGGAAATACTGAAAGACTTTTGCCTAAAGTGGCATTATTGAATACTGCTGTGATGCTACTGTATGTAATAAATTATTGTTGCAAAGTGCTGTTTTTGCCTTAAATTTTTATTTTGTGTGTCTTGAAAACTATAGTATTAAAGGTATTGAGATTGTGCAAATGCCAGGCATGCTTGGCATGAAATAGTGTTTTTATTTTTACAAAATTGTAATATGACTATGCAAGCATTTAACTAATTAATTAATTTATTTATTTTGAGATGGAATTTCACTCTGTTGCCCAGGCCAGAGTGCAGTGGCACGATCTCGGCTCACTGCAACCTCCACCTCCTGGTTTCAAGCAGTTCTCCTGCCTCAGCCTCCCGAGTAGCTGGGACTACAGGTGCACGCCACCATGCCCAGCTAATTTTTGTATTTTTAGTAGAGATGGGGGTTTCACTATGTTGGCCAGGCTGGTCTCAAACTCCTGACCTCGTGATCTGCCCACCTCAGCCTCCCAAAGTGCTGGGATTACAGGCGTGAGCCACCGCGCCCGGCTGCAAGTGTTTACCAAAAGAACACATACTGAAAAAATAGTTATGGGATTTTAAAAAGTTAGGAGATTAAAAAAAGTTATGAGATTTAAAAAGTTATGAGATTAAAAAGTTATGGGATAAAGTTACGTTATGGGATAAAAAAGTTACGGGATAAAAAATGTTATGGTCAGTGGCTCACTGGGCTTACAGGTGTGAGCTACCGCCCTGGGCCTAGTTCCCTGCTTTTGGATGACCGCGATCTTCATCTCATCTTCACCTGTCTCCCCCATCAGACACTTCTCCAGGCTTTGCTGAAAGTGGCCTGCTTTTATTTATTTAATATTTATCACATAACTTTTTTTCGTAAAACTTTTTTTGGAATATTTTTCCATAACTTTTTCCATAACTTTTTTCCCACAACTTATTTCCAAAACTTTTTTATTTTTATTTTTTTGAGACGGAGTTTTGTTCTTGTTGCCCAGGCCGGAGTGCAATGGCACAATCTCAGCTCACCGGAACCTCCACCTCCCAGGTTCAAGAGATTCTCCTGCCTCAGCCTCCTAAGTAGCTGGGATTACAGGCATTCACCACCACGCCTGGCTAATTTTGTATTTTTAGTAGAGATGGGTTTCTCCATGTTGGTCAGGCTGGTCTCAAACTCCCTATCTCAGGTGATCCACCCACTTTGGGATCCCAGTACTTTGGGAGGCTGAGGCGGGCAGATCACCTGAGGTCAGGAGTTCAAGACCAGCCTGGCCAACATGGTGAAACCCTGTCTCTACTAAAAATACAAAAAATTAGCCAGGTGTGGTGGCGGGCGCCTGTAATCCCAGCTATTCGGGAGGCTGAGGCAGGAGAATTGCTTGAACCCGAAAGGCAGAGGTTGCAGTGAGCCCAGATGGCACCACTGTACTCCAGCCTGGGCAACAGAGCAAGACTCCATCTCAAAAAAAAAAAAAAAAAAAAAGTTACAGAAAAAACGTGATTAAAAAAAGTCATGGGATAAAAATAAAAACAAAAGCAGGCCCCTGTCAGCAAAGCCTGGAGAAGTGGGGCCAGAGGCTCCACCCCCACCATGTCCCTGCCACCCCTTCCCAGTCACCCCTTTACCATTAGAGTAGCAAGACAAGACCCCTGTCTAATAGGGAGAGACAAACAGACCCTTTGCCACCCTGGCCAGGGCTGAGTCCTTAAATTTCTGGATGATGATGATTGTTATTTAAGAGGCAGAGGCTGATGGGAGTTGGTTTGTTCGGAGGAGGCCTCATGGCCTCCTTACTTTCACCAAAGCAATTTTTCCCTCAGGCTCCCGTCTTCTTAGTCAGAGAGGCAGCTGAGGCGGGACAGTGGGGCTAACTGTAGACCAGGCAAGGGCATGAGCTGCTGAGGGTGGCCCCCCTTCCCCCATGTACACATTGTGTCTGTGTAACGTTTTATATATTCTGGGGGGTAGGGCCGCCCCTGTATAGTACCTAGTGGAGATTGGAGCTGGCACATGGCGGGGAGGTTCTAATAATTATTTGCAGCTGGGGAATTTATTTGATAGCATAGGACAGAGGAAGGAGGCGGGGATGGGGTCGTGACTTCCTGGCGATGCAACTCCTGTTTATTTTGCTTTTTATTTTGGAATAAATGGATTTAGCCATACTGCTAGCCTGGTGTGTTCCTGCTTCCCCCACTGGGTCCTGGAGTTTGTGCCACTGAACGAGGAGCCCCAGAGTGTCCGAGCATGTCCAGCTGGTCTGTTGGGGACCTTCCAGACCTGTTACCTGTATGCTGCCTGGTGACGCGTGGGGGAGTCCACAGGGACTGCCATGGCGCCTACGGGGCACAGTCCGGCCCTGACGGCCAACAGGCTCAGAAGCCTGATCTAGCGGTGGCCGGGAAGGCAGGATGCCAGCACCCACGGGCACTGACTTCCATGCACCCCAGGCATCTTCCTTTCCGCCCCACTGCCTCCCTCGCCTGTCTGCACCTGGTGGCCTGTTCGACATGTCTGTCCCTCCAGAGTGCCGGCTGCCCCTCAGGCTCCTTCCGGGCTGAGTTCATGGCCCTGCCCCCTAGTGGCCAGAGCAGGCTTCACAGGATGAGAGCCAGCTAAGCTCCAGGGGCTTTCCAGGAAAAGTGTTCCTTGGAAAGGATGTGGCCTTTTCACCGCTCCCAGTACCCTAGTAATGGCTTGGCCTTACCCCTCCCCTGAGCTCCAAAGACAACACAGAGAGCAGAGGACACATTCCGCGTCATCCAGAAATGGGTTTGCTTGTCAGCCAAGGGAGAGCAGGACTGGTAGAGACTGTCAGGCCACACGGCACCCCCCATTCTTGGCAGGGGGTGGGAGGGATGGTGGGGCTGGCTGTCCACAGGCCGGGCATGACAGGGAGGCCCACTGGAGGTGGCGCACTTTGGAGGGGGGATGTTGGGGAACAGATATGGGTCTCAGTAAAGAAATCTGCTCTTTTACAATTCCTGCACCAATTTGCCATACTTGGAGATGACACATAGCAGCTTGTTTTTTACTTTTTCAAGAAAGGATATCATGGAAAGAAATCGAGCTGCCTTTCTATGAATAGAACTCAGTTGCCTTCCAGCCATAGGCTGCATGCTTCAAAATGTTCTTCAGAAATAAGAAATGGGTTGAGCTGCACCATCCACAGCCTTACCCTGAGCGTTCCCACCATGACCTCTAGCACATACGAAGTGCTTTGGTTAATTATGAAACCAGTGAAAATGAGATGAAAAGTCCTATTCTCATGCAGACCCGTTGGGTTATGCAGAGACAAGGTCGCAGGGACACAGCCCTAACCACAGTCTGCCCTCTGGAAAACACGTGTCTGTTCACATGGAAATGACACAAGTCTAGTTCTCGTCCAAAAGTCATGCAGCAAAACAAAAATGTCTGCAAAACTGGCAAGAGTTTTTACCATGACTTTAATTTTGAGGGTGCTCTTTAGCAGAGGCTGTTGATGAAGGAAGAATTCTATCAACCAGGACCACTGAGCAGGAATGAATCTATAGCTCCCTTTTTTAAGGCCAGAAAGGACCTTAAGTTCCTTTTGTTTCCGGAGGAGGGACCTGAAGCCTAGAGATGACAAAAGATTTGGCTTCTTTAAAGGATCCATCCAGCCCCCTCCATGAAAAGGAAATGAGCCAGTGTTGGTTTCAGTATTCTAAACTTTTGGAAAATGGTAAAACTGAAGGACATTGAACAAAATTACTAGGGTTTTTTCTATCTTGTTCAGTGAGTGTCAACATACTACATGTTTTTCATAATGGTTAGTTTTTATGATAAAAATACATTCTCATTGTATAAAATTTGGGAAATTCCAAAACCTATGGAGAAGAAGATTTATCCATAACCCCACAATTTATTCATTTGCTTATTCCAGCAACAAATAAAAGTGCATGCCTTACTAAGAGCAGGGCATGTTCCAAGACTGACTATCCAGAAATGATAGCCTTGAATTGATTCCCTTCCAACCCTTTTCTCAATACACTACTACTACTAATTTTAAAATCAGGTTATTTCGTTTTGGAATCTCCTTTTCACTTAATATATCACAAACCTTTTCCCAGTTTATCAAATAATATTCCAAGCTATGATTTTAAAGCTGCCTCACCTCAGCTCACATCATATCACATCACATCACATCAGTTTACATTATTAAACCATTCTACTTGGGACATAAGAGATGATCAATTTTTCAACATTATAAATAATGTTGCATGTAATATTCTTTGGTCACATACCTGATTATCTTTGGAAAGCTTCCCTAGGATTCAGATTGTTAGATCAAAAGCCTTAAATATTTTTCAGGTTCTAGATACACAATGCTCGATTGCTTTCCTTTTTTTTTTTTTTTTTTTTTTTTGGGGAGACAGAGTCTTGCTCTGTCGCCCAGGCTGGTGTGTAGTGGTGTGATTTCGGCTCACTGCAAGCTCCGCCTCCCCGGTTCATGCCATTCTCCTGCCTCAGCCTCCCGAGTAGCTGGGACTACAGGTGCCCGCCACCACGCCCGGCTAATTTTTTGTATTTTTAGTAGAGACGGGGTTTCACTGTGTTAGCCAGGATGGTCTCGATCTCCTGACCTCGTGATCCACCCGCCTCGGCCTCCCAAAGTGCTGGGATTACAGGCGTGAGCCACCATGCCCGGCCCAATTGCTTTCTTGAAAGAGTGTAATAGTTTTACTTCCACCAGCTACAAGAGTGTGTTTCAGTCATACAGCAAGGCCTGCCTCTCGAAACAACACCTATGGGTTAAAAAAAAAAAAAAGTCATTGTCAACTGAGTCAAAATGGTTTTTCTTTTAATTTGCATTTCTTACTTGACAACATAAGTCAAACTTTAAAAAAAAATTTGTTTCTTCATAAATTACCTTTGCATGCTTTTTGTCATTTTCCTATGGAACTGTTAATGTTTCTTCTTAGCATTCTAGTCTTAATATTTTTTAGCAAAGGATTTTTCTGACTGCATTGTGAGATCTGGCCTCCTGGCTGGGGCGGCAGGAGGTGGGATGGAGAAAGGGCGGGGTGTCAGAGCCAGGCCTGTTCTCTTAGTCCTTCCACAATCGCCAAGGTGTGACCTGGGCCAACTCTTGGTATCTCTGGGCTTCAGTTCCCTTCCCTGTAAATAGAAAGGTCTTAATTAAGGTCCCTTCCAGTGCTGTAAAAGGGAGTTTCAAAGCTTCTCTCACTGTTATGATTGTGATCAGCTTCGAAGGAGGTAGTGCTAGTGGGTAAACATCAAACTGTAAGCTTGCTTCCCCAGTTCCAACCTACCAGTACCACCTACACTGAGAAAATCACTTTGATGCTCTTAGTTTCCTGATCTGTAAATGGAAAATGTGTTTTACAGATTTGTTGTAAAAGTTATGTGAAATAATAAAAATCAAAGTGTATAGATTATAATATACTACAGACGGGCCGGGCATGGTGGCTCTCGGCTGTAATCCCAGCACTTTGAGGGGCTGAGGCAGACAGATCACTTGAGGTCAGGAGTTCGAGACCAGCCTGGCCAACACGGCAAAACCCCGCCTCTACTAAAAATACAAAAATTAGCCAGGCATGGTGGTTTGCCCCTGTAATCCCAGCTACTCCAGAGGCTGAGGTGGGAGAATCACTTGAACCCCGGAGACAGAGGTTGCAATGAGCCGAGATCATACCAAGGCACCCCATCCTGGGCAACAGAGCCAAACTCATCCCAAAACAAAACAAAACAAACAAACAAACAAACAAATGTATATATATACACACGCACCACAGACATACACACACACTGTGAAGTTGCATTTTTAAAGAATTTAATTTTCATAAATCTTAGTGCACAAACAAGTAAAGAAAACATTTTTTACCCTGTTGCATGTATCCTCCCTTTCAAACTAGACTCTAGCCTCCAGGGGTCCAAAGAGAATGAGATGACAGAGAGAATGTAAATAGAAACAAAAGAAGCTAAATCTTAGTGTTTGGGCTTCTAAGTATGGAGCCTCAAGTGATAATACGCAATTTTCTGAAGCACTTCTGTACATGATTTTCTCCTTGTGTGTGCTGACTTGACAGCTTAATTCACACACATAATACACACACACATACCTCACACACATAAATCTACCATATATATATATATACACAACTTACATAAGTGCTTCACACCCACTATATATCTAATTCCTTTTATAGGCATATGGCAATGAAAGCAGAAAATGTGATTCAAAAAATAGAAACCACTCTCATTTTCTTTAACTCTTTCCTTTAATTTTGGTCATTTAAAGCTTATAAATTTGACAGACTGTATTTTTAAAACAGACTATTTTTAAAACCTTTAATACTAGTCTCATACATGGTCTATTTCTATTGGTTTATAGTTTGTCAGCAAATTGTATTTTCTACCCATAGGTAAATGTAGCACTGTTCTGAGCACCAAGAAGACATAGGCAGGGAATAGACACTACCTTAGGATCAAGAGGAGACAAGACATGTAAACATGTCATTAGCTAAGTGTGTACATAAATCCAGTTCTGTCATTAAAGAGTAAATATGAGAGCAGGGAGATTTTCTGGTGGGTGGGCGATGATTGCTTTTTTCTTCCCCACGCTCTCCTGGCATTTTTCTCCCCTTCCTTGGGACTGGATTATAGAATGCAGGGGCAGGCCAGGAGCGATGGCTCACGCCTATAATCCCAGCACTTTGGGAGGCCAAGGCTGGTGGATCATGAGGTCGTGAGTTTGAGACCAGCCTGGCCAACGTCGCAAAGCCCCGTCTCTACTAAAAATACAAAAAAAATTAGCTGGGCCTGGTGTCGGGTGCCTATAATCCCAACTACTCGGTAGGCTGAGGCAGGAGAATCTCTTGAACCCAGGAGGCGGAGGCTGCAGTGAGCCGAGATCGTGCCACTGCACTTCAGCCTGGGCGACAGAGCAAGACTCCATCTCAAAAAAAATAATAAAGAATGCAGGGGCAGTTCAGCTTATACATCATGGGCATAAACAATGGCCACTAATTGAAATGGTAGTTTGAAGCTAGCCAGAAATAGCTCTTCACAAAAGAGATCAAGTCTTACTCTGTAAAAAGAGAGTAAAAGCTGAGAAAATATTTCTGAACTAAGTTCACCTTACACAAAGAACATATCCAGAGTTCTAGAATATATGGATATGCTAGGGGAAGAAATACAGATGCAGGCAATCCCCTCTCCTCAATCAGAGGGACAAAGGGTGGAATATGATCTCTGTTCTAAGGCCGTTTGCACTTTCTGTTCATCCTTACCCACTTGTGATGTGTTGTTGTGGTGGTTGTTTCTCAGCAAATGCTCTTAAGTCTGTTACGTAACCTTTCTAAGCACTTTACACATATGAACTGATTTGACTCACATAATAATCTTCTGGGATAAGAACTATTAGTATCATTCCCACTTGACAGATGCAGAAACCGAGGACCTGAGAGATTCCATAAGTCTCCCTGGCAAATTGGATTCAGCCCCAGGAAGTCTGGCTTCTTGGCCTACATTCTTGACTATAAAAGTTGCACTGTCTCTTTAGCTGAAGGGTGAACTTAGGCATTTGAACAGCCAAGGGGTTGTGGGTAGAGTGAAAAAAGAAAGGAAAGGCTTTGAAAGTTATCCTGTTGTTTGAAAACACGAAAAGAGAAGAGAAAAAGAAGGAGAGAGCCTGGAATAGCTGTGAGAAGGCAATAGAAGAAGTGGAAGAACAGGAAATGGAAGAAAAAAAGCAAAGAGAAATTGACCTTGTCCCTGCTAGGGTCCAAATCTAACGGCTTGCTCGGGCTGGAGGGGCTAGAAGTGGGTGTCTCTGCTTTCAAGCAGCGCATTTAACTTCACCGGCTTTCCCCAGGCTGTCTCTGCAGCAACCCACACGAGGGCCTCTTTTCACAGCAATTATGAAAGTGATGGTGGGAGGAAGTACAGCTCACTTATTGAGGTTAAAAAGCCACCCAAGTAAAAGCATTAACCCAGTAGTAAGATTAAATTCCTGGCCCCAAAGGGAAATTATCAGGAGGTGTCCTTTACCATGTGTGAAATGGAAACAGTTTCCTCTCTTGGGCAAAATAACCAATTGCTGTGGGAGGCGGAAATCAATGCAGTGTTTGGTGAAAACTTGGGTTTCTCTGATGAGTTCTGTGAAACGCTAACGTCTAACAGGGGTTGTTCAGTCTATCCAATAACATTTTCTTCCCGTGACCTTGGATCTTAACGTTGGCTCCGCTCATAAATGACTGTGGAATGGGAATGAGAGAGTAAGCTCTTGACAGCTACAGGGAAATGCACTTCTAAAGAACTTGGTATAAGAGGGAAAATGAGATGGTCCTCCAAGAGCTAAACAACAAGATCAATACATATTGTATGGAGCAGAGATGTGCAAAGTCATCATGTTGAACATTCTGACTTGTTGAACATGTTGAACAATCTGATTGAGGATAATAACACAGCTAAAGGAATAATAGTCAATTTAAGGTAGAGTTTGATTCCATGAAAGAAGAAAAAGGAGAGAGAAGTAAATGCATGTATTCTGTATATATATTGAGAGTCTGCTAAGCACTGTGCTAAGGGCATGAACAAATTCTACTCCTGCCTTTTTGGGGTTCCAGAGCAGGCTGACAGGGTCCATCTAAGAACAGCTCAGAAGAAAAAAATGCATCTTCGTCAAAGATATCCAGTATCCTGGCCAAGAGCAGTGCCTGCCGTTTTTGTAGACGCTGTTATTCTTTTTCCCATATTCCCATCTCAGGCTCATAGATGAGGGAACTTCTCCCCATCTGACTTGCAGACCATTTTAGGGAACACTTGGATGGACACGTACTCTCTCGCTTTCCCTCCTTTCATTCTTCTCTCCCCAGGATAAGAGTAGCTAATCTGACTCAAGACAGCATATCACCCATGTGGCCTCACATGTCAGAAGGGGTTGATTATGGAGTTGGGGCACTGCTTGTGCATGGCACACTTTTTTGCCTTCTTTGATTGGCCTGCCCAGTCTCAGGGCCCTTGCACCCCAGCTCCTCAGCTGGCTTCCTTTTGCTTTCCTTCTGCTCCAGCTTCTCACAGTGCATCCAGGCAGGCAAGTCACGTTGGCCCTGCCCTCTCTTCAGTCTAGGTGAGGTATCAAAGGCCAGTACTTTGGCTCAACCCCAAGTTGAAGTCTCTAGCTCTGAGCGCTGGAGCTTGGGGGGCACAGCCTACCACACTCATCTCCAGAAAGTTCCCTGGGTCTGGTCTCCTTCTCATCAAGAAACTATGTAGGTAAAAGGTAAAGATTGGTAAGCCTCACTTCAAGCCATTCTTACTAGATAACATTAAACCTTTATAGTCACCTCCCATCCCCCTTTCTACATCAACATTCACCAGGCAAAATTCTAACTGGGTTATGAGTTCACATGGGCTGGTCAGGTTGGCTCCAGTGGTCCAGGCTGTGTCACAGTTATTGTCATCATAGGTTAATCAGGAGGCATTCTGGTTGTCCACACCTCCACTGGATGACATGACCCGTATCCGAGATACCAGCTCTCAGCTTGTTGACAAAAGTGGGTGTCTGAACCTGCAGAGCTACAGAGGGTTCAAGTCACCAAGTTCATGGAATCCCACGAGCCTTGTGCTTGGACCACCCGCTTATCTTTCCCTTTAACTCCCCAAAACCAATACCCGCTGTCCTTTGATGTGTAAAACTTCCACAAGAACAACCTTGTAAGATGTTTGAGAAGATGAAAGATAATGCAGGAGAGCCCCTAATAGGGTGCCTGACAGCCAGTAGACAATAACCATGGGAATTGCTGCTGCTGCTATTTATTAATATTTTGGAGATAAGTATATATATATAGATGTATATCTATATATGTATATCTATACATATATTTATCTATTTTAAAAGGAATAATAATTATTATTTATTATATTTATTGATTATAATTATTATATATACTTATATATTATTAGTATTATTAATATATTAATATTATATAATTGTGTTTATTATATTTATTGCAATTATTTATAATTATATTTACTTATTTAATTATAGATAATTATTTATAATTAAATACATATAATTATTTATCATTATTACTCCTTTTAAGATACATAAGATAAATATATATATTTACACATATATGTATTTACACACATATATAAACAATATATATATATGTGTGTGTCTCAAATTATTCTTAAAAGGAGTAATAAATAATTACTGTCCATAAGAAGTAGGAGAAATTATTTCCCAATGTACCTAAAGACAGTGAGGTAGCAGTTAGGCCACAGTAGTTCTAAGGGCCTGCCATTCCCTACTCTCTTATCACTCTTGCAATTACTTGGTCTGAATGGCTCTATCTAGCCCAACTCCCTAGCTGACTGTTCATCTTCCAAATTATACCCAGGTGTCATCTGCTTTAAAGTGGCATGCATTCATGATTTGACTCAATATCTAATTCTAGCCCTGTGAAGCACTGGCCCTGATTATAAATCCCGCACGTGCAGGCATTCGTGGTCCCTGTGGGTGCACAAGATCAGGGAACATTCCCAGCTACCTTTTCATTAACTCCTCAGAGGCATTCATGAATGCTCGCAACAGCAGGGCCTTTAAGCCTTTCTGATAAATAACCACAGCAAGAAGTGTACACCCAACGCACACACGTGCACATGCACGCACATACACACACATACACCTACAGGACTGAAACAGAAGCCTTATAAAACACTACTTACTCTTAAAATGTAGACTAATTCAAAAGTCTATTTTTTTAATACGGGCTAAGATTCACTAAATTGATTTCAAAACCTACTAAGGGCTCAAGCCCGGCTATTTTAAGGGACACTGTAATGAAGACTCTACACAGAGATCACCAGACCTCGTGTTACGGTCTCAGCCTAGTTTTTCATCACATTTTTTTCTTGCGAGTCCTGAGAGTGCTGTGTATCTATTGTGAGGCTTTGCTGTTATTTTTGTTGTCGTTTTTGATGTTGGGGCTAACAGATGATGATGAGACATGGTTTAACAATAGCTTCACATTAGGAAAAGTATTTTTGTTACCCAAAACAAAGATTTCTGAGAACCTTGGTGTCTTGAGCCTGTGCACAATATGGAGGGAGGATGATGATGATGATGATTGTGCTTTTCGTGTATTAAAGAATCATTGTAAAAATACAAATACTGCCCACACACCTGGCACCAAGTAGGGACCCATGGGAGAGGAGTGATGGCACTCGTACCCACCCAACACTCACTCTCCACAGGTCCACTGACCTGTCATGTGGCTGAATGGAGGGTGACCTCAGGCTTCAGGAGGCAGACCCAGGTCACAGACCTGATGACACTGTTTTCCAGCCCTGCAGCCTTACGCACATCATCTAATCTCGCTGAGCTTTGGTCCACTCATCTCTGAAATGGGCATAATACGAAAGCCATGGACTCTTTGAGAGGCTTGAGTGAGACTGCATCGTGTGCACAAAGGGAAGCCAGCCAGTCCTACGTGGCTGGAGGAGGAGGAAGAGAGAGCAAAGGGGAAGGTACTGCACATTTTACAACAACCAGCTCTGTGAGAACTCTATCATGAGAACAGGAAGGGGGAAGTCTGCCTCCATGATTCAATCACCTTCCACCCGGCCCCTCCTCCAACACTGGCTCAATCTTCGCTCACTGCAACCTTCGCCTCCTGGGTTCAGGCGATTCTCCTGCCTCAGCCTCCCAAGTAGCTGGGACTACAGGCATGCGCCACTGCACCCGGCTAATTTTTGTATTTTTAGTAGAGACGGGGTTTCACCATGTTGGCCAGGCTGGTCTCAAACTCCTGGCCTCGAGTGATCCACTCGCCTCAGCCTCCCAAAGTGCTAGGATTATAGGCGTGAGCCACTGTGCCTGGCCTGTCTTTTGAATAAAGGCTATTTTAACTGAAGTGAGATGATGTCTCATTGTAGTTTTGATTTGCATTTCTATGATAATCAATGATGTCGAGCCCCTTCTCATGTATCTGTTTGCCATTTGTATGTCTTCTTTTGAGAAGTCTCTATTCAGATCTTTTGCCCATTTTTCAGTTAGATTATTAGATCTTTGCTATTAAATTGTTTGAGCTTCTTATATATTCTGTTATTAATTCCTTGTCAGATAGGTAGTTTACAAATATTTTCTCCCATTCTACAGGGTGTCTCTTTAGTTTATTGATTGTCTCCTTTGCTGCACAGAAGCTTTTTAATTTGATGTGATCCCATTTGTCCATTTTTGCTTTGGTTGCCTGCGCTTGTAGGGTATTGCTCAAGAGATCTTTGCCCACTCCAATGTCCTGGAGAGTTTCCCTAATGTTTTTGTTCAGTAGTTTCATAGATTGGGGTCTTATAATTAAGTGTATAATCCATTTTGATTTGATGTTTGTATGTGGTGAGAGAGAAGGGTTTGGTTTCATTCTTCTGTATATGGTTATCCAATTTTCCCACCACCATTTATTGAAGAGACTGTCCTTTCCACAATGTGTATTCTTGGCGCCTTTGTCAAAAATGAGTTCACTGTAGATGTATGGATTTATTTCTGGGTTCTCTATTCTGTTCCATTGGTCTATGTGTCTGTTTTTATGCCAGTAACCATGTCACTTTGGCTACTTAGCTCTCTGGTATAATTTGAAGTCAGGGAATGTGATTACTCTAGTTTTGTTCTTTTTGTTTAGGACAGTTTTGGCTATGGCGGGTCTTTTGTAGTTCCATATACATTTTAGGATTTTTTTTTCTATTTCTGTGAGGAATGTCATCGATATTTTGATACAGATTGCATTGAGTCTGTAGATTGCTTTGGGTAGTATGGATGTTTGAACAATATTGATTCTTCCAATCCATGAACACGGAATATCTTTTCATTTGTGTCCTCTTTAATTTCTTGTATCAGTGTATAGTTTTCATTGTGGAGAACTTTGGCTTCTTTGGTTAATTTCTAAGTATTTTATTTTATTTGTAGCTATTGTAAATGGAATTGCTTTCTTGATTTCTTTTTCAGACTGTTTGCTGTTGACATACAGAAATGCCATTGGTTTTTGTATGTTGATTTTGTATCCTGCAACTTTACTGAATTGATTTATCAGTTCTAATAGTTTTGTGTGTGTGTGTGTGTGTGTGTGTGTGTGTGTGTGTGTGTAGTCTTTAGAGTTTTCCAAAATACGATTATACCATCTGCAAATAAGAATAATTTGACTTCTTCCCTTCCAGTTTGGATGCCCTTTATTTATTTCCCTTGTCTGATTGGTCTAGCTAGAATTTCCTGAACAATGTTGATTAACAGTGGTGAAAGTGGGCATCTTTGTTATGTTCTTGATCTTAGAGAAGAGGCTCTTGGTTTTCCCCCATTCAGTATGAAACTAGCTGTGGGTGTGTTGTATATGGCTTTTATTATGTTGATGTATGTGCCTTCAGTTTTTAAGGGGCTTTCATCCTGAAGGGATGTTGAATTTTATCAAATGCTTTTTCAGCATTCATTGAAATTATCATGTAGTTTTTGTTCTTCATTCTGTTGATATGATGTATCACATTGATTGATTTGGGTATATTGAATTATCCTTGCATCCCTGGGATAAATCCCACTTGGTCATGATGAATGATCTTTTTAATGTGTTGTTGAATTCAATTTGCTAATATTTTGTTGAGAATTTTTGCATCAATATTCATCAGTGATATTAGCCTGTAGTTTTATTTTTTGGATGTATCTTTCGTTTTGGTATCAGGGTAATACTAGCCTTGTAGAATGAGTTGGAAGTATTCCCTCCACCACTATTTTTGGAGTAGTTTGGGTAAGGTTGGTATTAGTTCTCTTTAAATGTTTGGTAAAAGTCAGCAGTGAAACCATCACGTCCCAGGCTTTTCTTTGCTGGGAGACTTTTTATTACAGCTTTGATCTCATTATTTGTTGTTGGTCTGTTCAGGTTTTGCATTTCATCGTTATTCAATCTTGGTAGGCTGGACGTGTTTAGGAATTTATCCATTTTTTTCTAAGTTTTCCAATTTTTTGCATGTAATTCCTTATAATATTGACTGATGATCCTTTGAATTTTTGTGGTATCAATTGTCATGTTTCCTTTTTCATCTCTGATTTTATATATTTGGGTCTTCTCTCTTTTTTTCTTAGTCTTATTTAGGCTAAAAGGTTGTCAAGGTTGTTTATCTTTTCAAAAAACCAACTTCTCATTTCATTGATTTTTTTATTGTTTTCTTCATTTCAATTTCACTTATTTCTGCTCTGGGATCTTTATTCTTTTCTTCTACTAATTTTGGGTTTGGATTGCTCTTGCTTTTCTATTTCTTTAAGATGCACTGTTACGTTGTTTATTTGATGTTTTTCTACTTTTTTTTTTTTTAGACGGAGTTTCGCTCTTGTTGCCCAGGCTGGAGTGCAATGGTGTGATCTCGGCTCACCGCAACCTCTGCCTCCCGGGTTCAAGCGATTCTCCTGCCTCAGCCTCCCAAGTAGCTGGGACTACAGGCATGCGCCACCACGCCCAGCTAATTTTGTATTTTTAGTAGAGACGGAGTTTCTCCATGTTGGTCAGGCTGGTCTCGAACTCCTGAGCTCAGGTGATCTGCCCACCTCAGCCTCCCAAAGTGCTGGGATTCAGGCATGAGCCACCATGCCTGGCCTGTTTTTCTACTTTTTTAAGGTAAGTGTTTATTGCCATAAACTTCCCTCTTAGCACTGCTTTTGCTGTATCCCATAGGTTTTGGTATGTTGTGTTTCCATTATCATTTGTTTCAAGAAATGTTTCCATTTCCTTCTTAATTTCTTCATCGACCCCACTGGTCATTCCAGAGCATATTATTTAATCTCCATGTGTTTGTATATCTCCAAAATTTCTCTTGTTATTAATTTCTAGTTTTATTCCATTGTGGTCAGAGAAGATGCTTGACATTACTTCAATTTTTTTTTAATGTGTTAAGGCTTGTTGTGAGACCTAAGATATGGTCTGTCCTTGAGAATGATCCATGTGCTGAGGAAAAGAATGTGTATTCTGTAGCCATTGGATGAAACAATCTGTAAATATCTATTAGTTCCATTTGGTCAACAGTGCAGATGAAGTCCCATGTTTCTTTGTTGATTTTCTGTCCAGAAGATCTGTCCACTGCTGAAAGTAGACTGTTGAGGTCTCCAGTTATTATTGTATTGGGGTCTCTCTCTCTCTTTAGCTGTTTAGTGTTTGCTTTATATATCTGGGTGCTCTAGTCTTGGGTGCATATCTATTTAAAATTGTTATATCCCCTTGCTGAATGACCCCTTTATCATTATATAATGACCTTCTTTGCCTCTTCTTATAGTTTTTGTCTTGAAATCTATTTAGTCTGATATAAGCATAGCCACTCCTGCTCTTTACCAGTTTCCATTGGCACGGGACATCTTTTTCCATCCCTTTCTTCTCAGTTTATGTGTGTCTTTGTAGGTGAAGTGTGTTTCTTGTAGGCAATATATCACTGGGTCATGTTTTTTTGTTTGTTTGTTTTTTCCATTCAGGTACTCTGCATAACAACTGGTTATGATCAGGGCCAATGACTCCCCACCACTTCCCAGCAGATAAGGCTCAGGCATTGAAGCAGAGAGTCCCTTTGGGCCCTGAGGATGCAGGAAGTACCTGCACCCACCTAAGACCTCCATCATTGGTTCATCCAAACTACTTCCTAATGTCAGAATAAGAAACAAGTCTCTTTTGGGCTCACACAGGGTATGTGTCTCATTTTTGCTAGTTGTGTCACAGACTCAGGGCCACTAAATATGATTGGGAAAAGACCATTGGACAGTGTTGTAGGATATTGTAAGACTGGCCTAAGGAAAAGGCTAAAGGGGTGCTCATCTTAAGAATGCCAGGCTGGGTACAGTGGCTCATGCCTGTAATCCCAGCACTTTGGGAGGCTGAGGCGGGTGGATCACCTGAAGTCAGGCGTTTGAGACCAGCCTGGACAACATAGCAAGACCTCGTCTCTAATTAAAAAAAAAACAAAAAAACGAAAAAACAGACCAGGCACAATGGCTCACACCTGTTATCCCAGCACTTTGGGAGGCCGAGGTTGGTGGATCACAAGGTCAGGAGTTCGAGACCAGCCTGGCCAATGTGGTGAAACCCCATCTCTACTAAAAATACAAAAAAATGGCTGGGTGCGGTGGCTCACACCTGTAATCCCAGCACTTTGGGAGGCCAAGGCGGATGGATCACGAGGTCAGGAGATCGAGACCATCCTGGCTAACACGGTGAAACCCCGTCTCTACTAAAAATACAAAAGAAATTAGCTGGGCATGATGGCAGGCACCTGTAGTCCCAGCTAGTCGGGAGGCTGAGGCAGGAGAATGGCGTGAACCCGGGAGGCAGAGCTTACAGTGAGCTGAGATCACGCCACTGCACTCCAGCCTGGGTGACAGAGCAAGACTCTGTCTTAAAAAAAAAAAAAAAAAAAAAAAAAAATTTGTCGGGCATAGTGGTGCACACCTGTAATCCCAGCTACTTGGGAGACTGAGGCAGGAGAATTGCTTGAACCTGGGAGGCAGAGGTTGCAGTGAGCTGAGATCACGCCACTGCACTCCAGCCTGGGTGACAGAGCGACACTCTGTCTCAAAAAAAAAAAAAAAAAAAAATGCCCAGACAGAGACACTGGGGAATGGGATCAGGGAAGTGTTGACTTAAAAGAGGGAGGAGTGAAATTCAGTCCAAGAAAGTGTCAGTGAATAATTGTGAAATCAAGTATCACATGACGCATGCCCATGGAAAAAGAAAAGCTACAGCAGGAATTTTTTTTTTTTTAGAATGGATTTTTTTCATCCCCCCAAGGCCAGTATCACTTGGGATTTGTATTAATGGTTTGCATTAAGTGTGACAGAGGGAGACCCTTTAGCTTTAGGCTTTGGACCTTGTGTTCCTCCTTGGTGGATGCTGGCTTTTCTCTTAGTTCTCCTGTGCTGGCCTGAACTTCTCCAGGACTGGATAACCCAGGCCCTGTTCCAGCCCCTTCTTGCCAAGAGGAGGAAGGAGAATGGATTTACAACCTCTGGCCAGTTCCCACGCCCTATTCTGAACTGCACTATTCAAGAATACTTGTGGGAGGACACAGAGGTGCTCCAGGCTGCACAAAATGACTCAGAGGCAGCCCCAGTGTGGGGTGGTCCTTGCCAAGACACAGAGACAAGAGCGGTGCTGGGGTGGCTTGGGACAGGGTATGTTTTAGCGGGGATTTCTCTCTGTAATCTTCAATGCCCCCCAAGCTATTACAAGTAAAGACTAATTATAAAGATTGGAAGGAAAAACAAGGCAGGGAAAAAATTTAAATACATACACGCATGTATACATGCATATATATTCGTAGCCCCCTGGCTGTTTGGTTTATAGGAAGAAAATTATCCCTAAAATAATTAGTTGACTATTGGAAAGAAAAAAAAATCTTGTAACCTTCAGTAAAAGCAGTGACTCTTGGCAAGCAAAAGTGGCTTTAAGTTCCCTAACCGGCTTGTCAAACCAGACTGCTGCTCCCAAGCTACACCTATTACAAATATTAAAGCCACTAACTATGAGATTTACCGAGCCACATGGCCTGGAGATGGAAACATCCTCAGGGAATGGTCTGGTGCCAGAGACTGTTCCCTTAATGGGCTTTTACTGTTCCCTTAGTGGGCTTTTACTACTGTGTGTTTGATTCGCTTCATATACACACAGGCAACTTGAATTTTTTTTTTTTTTCCAAGACGGAGTCTTGCTCTGTTGCCCAGGCTGGAGTGCAGTGGTGCCATCTCAGCTCACTGAAACCTCAAATTCCTGGCACAAGTGATCTTCCAGCCTCAGCCTCTCAAGTAGCTGGGACTACAGGTGCATGCCCTACACCCAGCTAATATTTTTATTTTTTGTAGAGACAAGTTCTTGCTATGTTGCCCAGGCTGGTCTTAAAGTCCTGGCCTCAAGCGATCCTCCCACCTCAGCCTCCCAAAATGTTAGGATTACAGGTGTGAGCCACCACATGCCAAGCCATTAATCTTTTTTTTTTTTTGAGACAGAGCCTCACTCTGTCACCCAGGCTGGAGTGCAGTCGCATGATCTCGGCTCACTGCAACCTCCAGCTCGTGGGTGCAAGCAATCCTCAAGCCTGGCTAATTTTTTGTTTTTTTTTTTTAGTACAGACAGGGTTTAACCATGTTGGACAGGCTGATCTCAAACCCCTGACCTCAAGTGATCCACCCGCCTCGGCCTCCCAAAGTGTTAGGATTACAGGCGTGAGCCACCACGCCCAGCCCATTAATAATTTTTAAAATGCAAATGAAAGCATATATATATATATATATGTATGTATATATGTACGCACACATAATATTTATCCTATAGTATTGGGTATGGGCAAATTTTTTTAAGTGTAATAATTCACAATGGTGTTGGTAAGAAAATAATTCACTTTCACACTGTTGGTTTTAGTATAAATTGGAATATATCTTGTAGATGTAATCACAAAAATATGCCAATATATGTACAAGAATGTTTATTACAGCAATATTTATAACCAAAAACAGAAAAACAACCAAATTATTTAAATGTTTGTGGACAGAGGCCTAGCTTTAAAACATATGGAACATCTATACCTTGGAATTCTATTCAGCCATTTAAAAAAAATGAGGTTGATTTCTACATACTTTAATTAATTAATTAATTAATTTACTGGAGACATAGTCTCACTCTGTTGCCCAGGCTGGAGTCCAGCGGCACGATCTCGGCTCACTGTAACCTCCACCTCCTGGGTTCAAGCAATTCTCCTGCCTCAGCCTCCCGAGTAGCAGGGCTAATTTTTGTATTTTTAATTTAATAGAGATGGGGTTTTGCCATGTTGGCCAGGCTGGTCTCGAAATCCTGACCTCAGGTGATCCACCCGCCTCGGCCTCCCAAAGTGCTGGGATTACAGGCATGTGCCACCACACCTGGCCCCTTTTTTTTTTAATGTATATGCGTATGGTGTAGAGGCCAAGAGGATAAGTTCTTCTTGGCCTTCTGAAGTTTCCCTGAAAAATCAACTTGGAAAAGACAGGTTAATAAGAGAAAAAGCACACAGATTTATTTAACAAGTATACAATTAATGAAGATTCAAAGATACAGGTGGAATTGTCCATTTTTATGCTTAGGTTTAACAAAGTATGGAGAGCCATGTAAAAATATGATTGGGCCAGGCGCGGTGGCTCACGCTTGTAATCCCAATGCTTTGGGAGGCTGAGGGGGGCGGATCACCTGAGGTCAGGAGTTCAAGACCAGCCTGGCCAACATGGTGAAACCCTGTCTCTACTAAAAACACAAAAAAATTAGCTGGGCATGGTAGTGGGCACCCGTAATCCCAGCTACTTGGGATGCTGAGGCAGGAGAATCACTTGAACCCGGGAGGCGAAGGTTGCAGTGAGCTGAGATCATGCCATTGCACTCCAGCCTGGGTGACAGAGCAAGACCCCATCTCAGACAAAAAAAAAAAAAAAAAAAGACGTACAAATGGCCAACAGTTATGAAAATATCCTCCATCTCATTACTCATAATGGAAATGCATAGCAAAACTACAATGAGATATATCTCACCCCAGTTAAAATACCTCTATCCATGGCGAAACTCCATCTCTACTAAAAATACAAAAATTAGCTGGGTGTGGTGGCATGTGCCTGTAATCCCAGCTATTAGGGAGACTGAGGCAGGAGAATCGCTTGAACCTGGAAGGCAGAGGTTGCAGTGAGCTGAGATTGTGCCACTGCACTCCAGCATGGGCATCAGAGCAAGACTCCATCTCAAAAAAAAATAAAAATAAAAAAATAAATAAAATAAAATAAAATATATATATATATGGACAGAAAGAATATGGTCTACTGCTAATAGACTGAGTGGGGAAACCCAGCCCAGCCTGTCTCTCCAGATTCTTGGACTTTCTCTGCAGCATTCCTTCCTTCTGGGTGAGGGGCAGGGACCTGCCGGGAATGGAGGTCTTATGATCTACAGTCAAACAAGTTAAGTCAGATAATTTTTTTTTCTTGAGACTGGGTCTTGCTCTGTCACCAGGCTGGAGTACAGTGTCGTGATCACGGCATACTGCAGCCTCAGCCTTCTGGGCTAAAGTAATCCTCCCACCTCAGCCTCCCAAGTAGCTGGAACCACAGGGGTGCACCGCCACACCAGGCAAATTTTTTAATTTCTATTTTTGTAAAGACAGGGGGTCTCCCTATATTGCCCAGGCTGGTCTTGAACTCCTGAGCTCAATTAAACCTTTGCCTCTGCCTCCCAAAGTGCTGGGATTACAAGCATGAGCCACTGCACCCACCTAGATAATTTTTTTGTTTTGTTTTTATTTGAGACAGAGTCTCGCTCTGTCACCCAGGCTAGTGTGCAGTGGCATGGTCTCGGCTCATTGCAACCTCCACCTCCTAGATTCAAGCCATTCTCCCACCTCAGCCTCCCGAGTAGCTGGGACTATAGGCACACGCCACCATGGCTGGCTAATTTTTGTATTTTTAGTAGAGATGGGGTTTTACCACGTTGGCCAGGCTGGTCTCAAACTCCTGACCTTGTGTCATCTGCCCGCCTCAGCCTCCCAAAGTGCTGGTATTATAGGCCTGAGCCACTGTAGCCGGCCCAGTTAGTTTCTTTATGGGCAGTTTGACACAGAAAGGTGGAGGGGAAATTAGAGTCATTTTTTTGTTTTGTTTTTTTGAGATGGAGTCTCACTCCGTCACCCAGGCTGGAGTGCGGTGGCGCGATCTCGGCTGACTGCAACCTCTGTCTCCTGGGTTCAAGCGATTCTCCTTCCTCAGCTTCCCAAGTAGCTGGGACTACAGGCACACGCCACCACACTCAGCTAATTTTTGTATTTTTAGTAGAGATGGGGTTTTACCACGTTGGCCAGGCTGGTCTCGAACTCCTGACCTCATGTCATCTGCCCACCTCGGCTTCCCGAAAGTGTTGGGATTACAGGTGTGAGCCACTACACCCGGCCTAGAGTAGCATTTTTAAGTTTTATGGCTGACTATAGGGAAAAGGGACTCTGATTTCTATGGGTAACCGCAGGGGAGAATGGTACTGAGAGAAAGGCATGGAAGAGAAAGTCAGAGGAAAACGTTTGCTTACGAAGCTGCTGCTGAGGTTCTCATTTTAGGCTATTGTTTTCTGAGCCCCAGCAGTGGCCAGCTGTACCATAACAATCAAGATGCATTTAAAACTTTTTCTAAAAACTAGCTCTATCCTTTAACTACTGACTTAGCCAATTACCTCCTTCTTAGAGCTACTCCTTCTCTGGGATTGCCCAGGAACCTGAGGCATATGTCATGCACAAAGGAGTCCTGTGGACATTCATACCCTTTGGAGCGGAGCCCAGGAGTCCCTAGCGGTGGTCTGTGGCTGTTTCTGCCCTTGCTCTTAACCACCACAAGGTGTCACTCTTCGCTGCTCCTGCGCGTTCCCACCAAGGCGGTAACTGCTGGCCAGAGAGGAAGAATTTCCTCTGTCCCCGCACTAGCTAATCCAGAGTCCTTACCAGTTCCCAGGGCTTCATAGTACCCAGCCCTTTCAGGCCCCCGCAAAGCCTCGCCCCGCAAGCCCGCCGCCAGCCCCAGCACTATGTCAGGACTGGCTCAGAGGAACACCCATTCCAGACAATAACAACTTTTTCTTTCTTGCCCAGGTGTTTTCAACCCTTAAACCAGACTGGGCTTGTTCTATTTTTACTTTTTAAAATTTTAACTCCTCTACTATCATTCCCAAATGGGCTTGTTCTAATTCCTTCCCGGACCATAGAGCTACAAACTTCCCCGAAGAGCGACTTCCAATTGGTTTTTAGGCATCCTTGGTGTGCCTTTCATACATAAAGGTAGGTCAAGGGTTCCCTACCTTCTCTGACAATAGAGCCTGATTGTCTCCAGTTGGAGGACCAGCCCTTAAAACAGCTAAATTCCTTTTACTTTCCCTAGAGGAAGGGGAGCTCCGTGGGGAGTCAGCTACCCGGGGGCAGACTTTCTGGCATTCTTTGGAAAAGCAGTGAAAATAAAACTCACAAGTTACATCTTCAGCAGAGTATCTGCTACATATGAATATATTGTACACATATTTTTATATGGTTGCAAACATAAAACATATAGGTCCATGTCCTGATTTTTCATGTACTGCAATGTATGTTGAGTATTTTCCCATGTCGTTGTAAATTCTTCATAAGCATTATTTGCAGTGGTTGAATGATCTTTTTTCATGATAGGGTTCTATTGTAATTTTGTAATAATTTTCTTATTTTTAGACACTGATCATTTTGTTTTTTGCTGTATTGACTATTCTTATATATTTTTATATATATTTCTGATTATTTCCTTATAAGAGACCTAGTATTGAAATTACTGAGTCAAAAACATTTGCAAGTCTTTTTATTCATGCTGCAAAAAACTTCCTAGAAAGCTTGCATCATTGTGTACTATCAACACCAAGTACCATAAGGAATGCACACCTAATTGCACCCTAATCAAAAGTAATGAAAACAATTTTATAAATCTCTCTTATCAGTGCACTGGTAAAAAAGATGTTTTAATTTGCAATTAGGCTGGACGTGGTGGGTCACGCCTGTAATTCCAGCACCTTGGGGAGGCCAAGGTAGGAGGATCACCTGAGGTCTGGAGTTCGAGACCAGCCTGGCCAACATGGTGAAACCCCGTCTCTACTAAAAATTAAAAAAAATTAGCCGGGCGTGATGGCATGTGCCTATAATCCCAGCTACTCGGGAGGCTGAGGCAGGAGAATCACTTGAACCTGGGAGGTGGAGGCTGCAGTGAGCTGAGATCCCGCGATTGCACTCCACGCTGGGCAACAAGAACAAAATTATCATCTTAAAAAAAAAATCAATTAATTACTAGTATAAATTAACATTTTAAAATTTGTATTTCTGTTTTTTATAAATTGTTAGCAGTTTTTACTTATTTATTTACTTAGAGACGGAGTCTTGCTCTGCTCCCAGGCTGGAACATAGTGGCAAAATCATAGCTCACTGCAGCCTCCAACTTCTGGGCTCAAGGGGTCCTCCTGTCTTGGCTTCCCAAAGTACTGGGATTACAGGCATGAGCCATCATGTCTGGCCCTTTTACTCATTTATTTATTGGGATCTTAATTTTAAAATCCATTTGTATGACCCCTTTATTTATTGAAGATACCAATCTATTGTCTGCTATATTGTTATAAGTGTTTTCTCAATAAATATATTGCTTAATTTATAGTTTTATGAATATTTTTGTCACAGGCTGAACCCCCAATTTTGGGATTCAGTCAACCTGGGAGGCCACGTGGGTTCTTGGCTTTGCACAAGAAGGAATTCAAGAGCAAGCCAACAGAATGAAGAGAAAGCACATTTAATAAGAAAGTAAAGGACTGCTGGGCTTAGTGGCTCACGCCTGTAATCCCAGCACTTTGGGAGGCTGAGGCGGGTGGATCACCTGAGATCAGGAGTTCAAGACCAGCCTGGCCTGTTAACATGGCAAAACCCCATTTCTAGTAAAAATACAAAAATTAGCCGGGCATGGTGGCACGCACCTGTAGTCCCAACTCCTTGGGAGGCTGAGGCAGGAGAATCGCCTGAACCCGGGAGGCAGAGGTTGCAGTGAACCAAGATTGTGCCACTGCACTCCAGCCTGGGCGACAAAGTGAGACTCCATCTCAAAAAAAAAAAAAAAAAGAAGCAAGTAGAGGATTTTGGGAGGCTGAAGTGAGTGGATAACTTGAGCCCAGGAGTTCGACACCGACCTGAGCAACATACGGGGACCCTGTCTCTACAAAAACATTTAAAAAGTAGCTAGGCTTGGTGTTCTGCACCTGTAGTCTCAGCCACTTGGGAGGCTGGGGCGGCAGGATTGCTTGAGCCCAGGAGGTAGAGGCTGCAGTGAGCTATGATCATGCCACTGCACTCCAGCCTTGGCAACAGAGCAAGACACTGTCAGTAAATAAATAAAGCAAGCAAAATCCCCTGGTGACCATCCAGCAGGCTCCAGAGACAAAAACTCCTTATCTGAGGAATTTAGAAGTAATTAGACTTTCCTATTATCTAAAGACACTTGGTTCCAGGCCTCTTTTCAACTTAAAATGTGTGAGTAACTAGGATTTCTGTACATCCCCAGAATGCATGCATGCCGAAACTCATTGTTCAACCCTTGCTAACATCAAGGCAACAAAATGTCTAAAAATGTAATCATTTATCGTGCAAGTTACCCTTCATCTCCTGCTTTAGGTCCATAAATATCCCTAAGGAAAAGACCACCGCAGTGGCTCAGTGCTCTTGCTGACGTGCCCCACTGCACTTTTCTGCAACGTTCCTTCTTTCTATGGTAATAAAACCTGTACTGTTGTCAGTAAATTCTTACCAACCCTCAAGTTGAGTGTTACCGGAAAGGGGTCCCAGTCCAGACCCCAAGAGAGGGTTCTTGGATCTCGCTCAAGAAAGAATTCAGGGTGAGTCCATAAAGTGAAACCAAGTTTATTAAGAAAGTAAAGGAATGGGCGGGGCGCAGTGGCTCACTTTTGTAATCCCAGCACTTCGAGAGGGCAAGGCAGGCAGATCACGAGGTCAGGAGTTCGAGACCAGCCTGGCCAACATGGTGAAACCCCTTCCCTACTAAAAATACAAAAATTAGTTGGGTGTGGTGGTGGGCGCCTGTAATCCCAGCTACTCGGGAGGCTGAGGCAGGAGAATCGTTTGAACCCGGGGGGCAGAGGGTGCAGTGAGCCGAGATCGTGCCATTGCACTCTAGCCTGGGCAACAGGGTGAGACTCTGTCTCAAAAAAACAAGAAAGAAATATATTCATGTACATTTCCAAATTTCCGATAAAACAACGTAGGGTCCATGCACTATAGTCTATTTGTGGTTTTCTCCACCTCACTTTAGCCCCTTCTCAAGACCCTAAAACTACTGGAGGCAGTGAGCTACTGGGGAGTTCCTGAAGGGCGAGCACTTTTTCCACTCATTTCTAAAATAAAAAGTTATGAAAAAAATAATAATTTTTATCTGACTAATGCAAATCCTTTTTTTTTTTTTTTAAGAAAGGGTCCTGCTTTGTTTCCCAGGCTGGAGTGCAGTGGCATGATCACAGCCCAGTGCAGCCTTGACCTCCTGGGCTCAAGCGATCCTCCCACCTCAGCCTTCTGAGTAGCTGGGACTACAGATGGGCACCACAACACCTGGCTAATTTTTTATTTATTTATTTGTAGAAAAGAGGTTTCTTGACTGTGCGCGGTGGCTCACGCCTATAATCCTAGCACTCTGGGAGGCCAAGGTGAGGTGGACAACTTGAGGTCAGGAGTTCGAGACCAAGGTGACAACATGGTGAAATCCCCGTCTCTACTAAAAAGACAAAATTAGCAGGGGGTGGTGGTGCATGCCTGTAATCCCAGCTACTTGGGAGGCTATTATTTTTAGTAATAATAATAATTTAGTAATTTTTGTATTTTGTATTTTCACCATGTTGGTCAGGCTTGTCTTGAACTCCTGACCTCAGGTGATTCACCCACCTCGGCCTCCCAAAGTGCTGGGATTACAGGTGTGAGCCACCACGCCCCGCCACCAAAACCAGTTTTATTGAGGCAGCAGTGTTACCGCTCTGTAACTGCTCCTGCAGGAAGAGCTAGCCCATAGTCAGTGTGTGGAGAGTAGCAGCTAAGGGGCAGTTCCACAGTCATATTTATACCCACTTTTAATTACATGCAAATTAAGGGATGGGTTTTTCAGAAATTTCTAGGAAAAGGGTATAACTCCCAGGTTGTTGCCATGGAAAGGGGCAGTAACTTCTGGGTGTTGCCAGGGCACTGGTAAACTGACATGGCACTGGTGGGCATGTGTTATGGAGAGGTGCTTTCCCCTCTTCCCTGTTTCAGCTAGTCTTCAATCTGGCCTGGAGTACAGGCCTGCCTCCTGCCTCACAACTGCTGCTAATCAGGATGTATACTGAGGGTAACTTGACTCTATGCTCCCAGTTTGCAATATCTAGCTTGGCCCAAATAGATCCTCTGTCTTACTATTGTTATTTATTTTTTTTTAAGAGAAAAGGTCTTGCTCCTGTTGCCCAGACTGGAGTGCAGTGGCAGGATCTTAGCTCACCATAACCTCGAACTCCTGGGCTCAAGCAATCCTCCTGCTTCAGCCTCCTGAGTAGCTGGGACTACAGACATGAGCCACCATGCCTGGCTAATTTTTAAATTTTTTGTACAGATGGGGTTTCACTATGCTGCCCAGGCTGTTCTCAAACTCCTGGCAAGCAATCCTCCCAACTCAGCCTCCCAGAATCCTCGATTACAGGAGTGTACCACTATGCCCAGCCCCAGATAAATTCTCTACTTATATTAATTTTGCTTCAGCTTCCTTCTAGGTTGACAGTTCCCAGTTGACTCTCAAAATGTTTGTGAAATTAAGCAATTTCACTGGGGCATGGTGGCTCACACCTGTAATCCCAGCACTTTGGGAGGCCCAGGTGGGCAGATCTCTTGAGGTCAAGAGTTTGAGACCAGACTGGCCAACATGGTAAAACCCTGTTTCTACTAAAAATCCAAAAAAAAAAAAAAAAAAAAAAAGTCAACCAGGCATGGTAGCGCACGCCTGTAATCCCAGCTACTCGGGAGGTTGAGGTGGGAGAATCACTTGAACCCAAGAGGCGGAGGTTGCAGTGAGCCGAGATCATGCCACTGCCCTTCAGCCTGGGCAACAGAGAGAGACTTCATTTAAAAAAAAAAAGGCAATTTATTTAGTGATGTAAAAGTTTTCATGGATATATAAGGGAATCAGGGAGTCCTCAAGGCGGAAGAAGGTGAAGGAACAGAGCAGGGGAGGAAGAGGAGGGAGGAGAATCTCCCCCAGGCTGAGCAGACCAGGGCACTGAGCTCCAGATGTTTGCACCCCTCCTTTGTTTTCCCCATCTCTTCCCTACTCTCCAGGCCAGTCAGATGGCAAGGCCTGGACAACTGGAAGGAAAGAGAATGAAGGATGGAACTGGGGCGGCAGCTGTGTTGGCCACACAGGCCCTTCTGACTGGGCAGCATGGAGGCCACTTCTGCCAGCCTGAGAGTTGCAGAAGTAGATGGCAGGGAATCCCCTGCTTGGGGATGACACAGTAGGTAGATTAGAAAGTTGGAGAACAGGAACCGTAAGCCACTAGCAGGAACATGGTTGAAGAGCCGACCGTGGAGTCCAGACTGAGGGAGGAGGTAGAAAAGGAACAATAAGCAAGGAAGCAGAGGAGGCTGTGGCAAGGATAATGGGCAGCCCCAGTTATTCTAAGGGAAAAGGAGAGATGGAGTTGAGAGGCTGAAATGGAAGCAGCTCTGTGATGTGGCTGGCCTTTCGAGGTTACTGGAGCAGAGGAGGTAAAGGGACCATGAGCACAGGTGGTGGTGCTGTAATTAATAAGGATGAGGCCGGGCACGGTGGCTCACACCTGTAATCCCAGCACTTCAGGAGGCCACGGCAGGTGGATCACTTGAGGTCAGGAGTTCTAGACCAGCCTGGCCAACGTGGTGAAACCCCATCTCTACTAAAAATACAAAAAATTAGCTGGGTGTGTGGCGGGCACCTATAATCCCAACTACTCAGGGGGCTGAGGCAGGAGAATCACTTGAACCCGGGACACGGAGGTTGCAGCAAGCTGAGATCGTGCCATTGGACTCCAGCCTGGGCGACAATAGCGAAACTCCGTCCCCCCACCAAAAAAAATAATAAAATAAATAAGTATGCTGAAGCCACTGAGGATGAGAGCAAGACACTGGGATAAGGGGAGCCTGGTAGCCAGGTCCTAAAGCCATTCCAGAGGGCTGCAGAATGGCCCAGAGAAGAAGTTCTCAGCTAAGGCATGGCACTAATGACTAATCGATGGTTGTAATCATTTCTTCCTTTTTTTTTTTTTTTGAAACAAGGTCTTGCTCTGTCACCCAGGCTGGAGTGCAGTGGCACAATCATGGCTCACTACAGCCTTGACTCCTGGGTTCAAGCAATCCCCCTTCCTTAGCTTCCCAAAGTAGCATTACAATCAGCACCAGGAATTGAGCCCAGCTGAACTGAGCCACCATACGCATAGCAACTACAATTGAAATCTAGATGGGCGTGCTGTGCGTGAGGCAGGTGTTGGTAGGTCAGGCTACAAATTAAGTCTCAATCAATATTATTTTATTTTATTTTTTGAGACAGGTGAAATCTGAGAACATTATAAGTGAAATAAGCCAGTCAGACAAAGACAAATACTGTACGAGTCAGCTTATATGAGGTACTTAGAGTAGTTAAAATCTTAGAGGCCAGGCATAGTGGCTCACACCTGTAATCCCAGCACTTTGGGAGGCCGAGGTGGGAGGATTGCTTGAGCCCAGCAGTTTGACGCTAGCCTGAGCAACATAGTGAGACCCTCTCTCTCCAAAAATAAAATAAAATAGAATAAAATAAAATAAAATAGTCAGGCATGGTGGCACACGCTTGTAATCCCAGGTATTCCAGAAACTGAGGTGGGAGGATAACTTGAACCTGGGAGGTCAAGGCTGCAGTGAGCTATGATCACACCATTGTATTCCAGCCTGAGCAACAGAGCGAGACCCTGTTTCAAAAGAATAAAAAATAAAAACATTATAGAGACAGAAAATATGACGATAATTGCCGGGGGCTGGGGACAGGGGAAAGTGGGGAGTTATTGCTTAATGGGTATAGAGTTTCAGTTTTACAAGATGAAAAGAGTTCTGCAGATGTGTGGTGGTGATGGTTGTGCAACATTATGAATGTACTTACTGAACTGTATACTTCAAAACAGTTAAGCTGGTAAATTTTATGTTTTGTGTATTTTGCCAAAATTTTATAAAAAATTAAAAAAATAAAATCATTGGAGGCTGAGGCACGAGGATTACTGGAGCCCAGGAGTTCGTGAGCAGCCTGGGCAACACATCGAGACCTCATCTCTACAAAAAGTTAACAATTAGCTGGGTGTGGTGGTACGCACCTGTAGTCCTTGCTACTTAGGAGGCTGACATGGGAGGATCACTTGAGCCCAGGAGTTCATGACCAGTCTGGGCAATACAGCAAGACCCTGTCTCAAAAGGAAATAAAATATAATAAGTAAAAAATATTGGTAATATCCAGTTTGATAAAGATGCAGAAAAAGAGGCACTTTCATAAACTGTTAGTAGAAGCATAAATTGAAGGAGCCTTTGAGAATGTGGTTTAGCAATATCTATCAATACTTTAAATGAGTACATTCTTTGAATCAACTTGTACTTTTGGGTATCTATCCTAGAGAAATATTTGCATAGGTGTATATAGAGACATGCACACACTGGCTGTAATGTAAAAAGGTTTGAATTGACCTAAATATTGATCAACAATGAGTGGTTAAACTGATTAAGTTAGAGTCATAGTGTTTAATTTTAAGTACAGTTGATGCTTATTATCTGAGGGAGTTGTTCTCTAATATCACATTACAAACACTGAATTCACAAATATGGAACCATTGCTCCTAGAGGAAATACAGGGTTGGTTCCTGTAAGCCTCTGGTCACAATATTTTCATTAATCAATCATGTGTGCTTCTGTTTGAAATACATTATTCAGTGTACCTTTCTTACAAATGATTGATTGCATAGTCCTTCAAAGATTTAAAGCCTGGGGTTTGGAGGCTATTTGCATTATATAGGTTAATTTGCCAATGTCCTTGTAAAACAAGCCAGTCTTTTTTTTTTTTTTTTTTACACTTTAAGTTTTAGGGTACATGTGCACAATGTGCAGGTTAGTTACATATGTATACATGTGCCATGCTGGTGTGCTGCACCCATTAACTCGTCATTTAGCATTAGGTATATCTCTTAATGCTATCCCTCCCCGCTCCCCCCACCCCACAACAGTCCCCAGAGTGTGATGTTCCCCTTCCTGTGTCCATGTGTTCTCATTAAAACAAGCCAGCCTTATCAGAGTTGAAAAACTGCTTTCCTACCTAACCCTTACCCTTTTCCCATATTACACTTAGTTTGTATAGCTTTTTTTTTTTTGAGACAGGATCTCGCTCTGTCGCCCAGGCTAGAGTGCAGTGGCACAATCTCAGCTCACTGCAACCTCCACCTCTCAGGTTCAAGCAATTCTCCCACCTCAGCCTCCTGAATAGCTGGGACTACAGACATGTACCGCCACGCCCAGTTAATTTTTATATTTTTTTGGTAGAGGTGGGGTTTTACCATGTTGGGCAGGCTGGTCTTGAACTCCTGACTTCAAGTAGGGATCTGCTTGCTTAGGCCTCCCAAAGTGTTGGGATTACAGGTGTGAGCCACCATGCCTGGCCTTGTATAACTTTTTTTTTTTTTTTTTGAGACAGGGTCTCTGTTGCCCAGGCTGGAGCGCAGTGACTCAATCACAGCTCACAGTAGTCTTGACCTCCTGGGCTCAAACGGTCCTCCCACCTCAGCCTCCTGAGTAGCTGGGACTACAGGTTCAAGAAACCATGCCCAGCTAATTTTTATTAATAGAGACAGGGTCTCCCTATGTTGCCCAGGCTGGTCTATGAACTCCTGGACTCAAGCAATCCGCCCACCTCAGCCTCCCAAAGTGCTAAGATTACAGGTGTCAGCCACCATGCCCGGCCTTTAGCTTGTATGTTTAAAATTATTCTGCAGCCTCGCGATCTGTAGAACTTGCCTATAAAAATAACACTTTTAATGTTATAACACATTTTGAAACATTTGAGGCAGTAATACTAGCTAAGCCAGTTTAACATTTTCCTGACCCAATGTGACTGTAAATTTCTTTGGCTTTTCAGCCTCACAACAGCTGTCTAATGCCCTTTTTTCTTTTTTTATTGGTCATCATCTCCTGAATCCACAAATTTGGCCACTTTTGTATCTTTTCCACAGCTTCATCATACACTACAGACATTACTCTATTTAGCACTTTCTGGAGCAGCCTCAGGTACAGGTTGCCCAATGTCCTCTTCCTTTTTCTAGGTATGTTGTGTTGTTGATTCATTGAGGAACTCACAGCACTATGACTCCTGTCTGAATGAAGCTTATCTAACCATGTCTGCCAGGCACGTCCCATCACAGCCTTCTTGATCATACAAACACTAGATAACACTTCAGCACTGCACTGCACTTCAGCACTTTTGCATTTAAAAACCAAAATCGGCTGGGCGCTGTGGCTCACGCCTCTAATCCCAGCACTTCGGGAGGCTGAGGTGGGTGGATCATTTGAGGTCGGGAGTTCAAGACCAGCCTGGCCAACATGGTGTACCCCATCTCTACTAAAAATACAAAAATTAGCTGGGCGTGGTGTCACACACCTCTAGTCCCAGCTACTCAGGAGGCTGAGGCAGGAGAGTCGCTTGAACCCAGGAGACGGAGGTTGCAGTGAGCCAAAACCTCACCACTGTACTCCAGCCTGGGTGACAGAGCAAGACTCCGTTTCAAAAAAATAAAAAACATAAATATAAATAGCAAAATCAACAGCAAAAAGCATAAACATTCAAAAAAAAAAAGTGGCACCAAATGGACCACAGGAGGAACACTTGTATGACAGATGAAGCAAGAAGACAGTGTCGCCCTGTTCAGCCTCATTTAGGAATGTGTGCGTCAAGCAACTCAGATTTTTCACTGCTTTGCACATGTCTACAAATGATCCCCAAAGCTATATGAATATTGATTTTGGGGTTACAAATAAATGCAATGAGTAGGCAAATTCACAAATATGGAATCCACAAATAATGAGGATAGACCATATGTATTAAAAATAATACAATGGGCCGGGTGTGGTGGCTCAAGCCTGTAATCCCAGCACTTTGGGAGGCCGAGGCAGGCGGATCACCTGAGATCAGGAGTTCGAGAACAGCCTGGCCGACATGGTGAAACCTCATCTCTGCTGAAAATACAAAATTAGCTGGACGTGGTGGTGTGCGCCTGTAATCCCAGCTACTTGGGAGGCTGAGGCAGGAGAATTGCTTGAACCCGGGAGGCAGATGTTGCAGTAAGCTGAGATCACACCATTGCACTCCAGCCTGGGCAAAAAGAGCGAAACTTCGTCTCAAAAAAAAAAAAAGAATACAGTAGATCAGTATGTATTTGCATAGAAGGAGGCCTGTGATATGTTTTCAATCAAAAAAAGAAGCTGAGGCTGGGTGTGGTGGCTCACATCTATAATCCCAGCACTTTGGGAGGCCAAGGTGGGCAGATCGCTTGAGGCCAGGAGTTCGCCACCAACCTGGGCAACACGGCAAAAACCCATCTCTACAAAAAATACAAAAATTAGCCAGGTGTGGTGGCTACACCTGTAGTCCCAGTTACTCATGAGGCTAAAGTGGGAGGATCACTTGACCCCAGGAGGCGGAGGGGTCTCAATGAGCCAGGATCATGCCACTGCACTTTAGCCTGGGTGACAAAGCAAGAACCTGTCTCAAAAATAAAATAAAATAAAATAATATAAAAGAAGCTGGTCATGATGGCATGTGCCTGTGGTATCAGCTACTCGAGAGGCTATGGGAGGATCGCTTGAGCCCAGGAGTTTGAGACCAGCATGGGCAACATAAAGAGACCTCGTCTCTACAAAAAGAGAGAGAGAGAAAGTCATTGAACAACATGTACAAAGGTTAAAAAAAAAAAAAAAAAAAAAAGCAAACACTTATAAAAGCCAGGCAGGCAACATAAAATGGTAAGGTGGGCCAGTGTAAGACACCTGGGAATGGTGGGGGCTGGAGAGGAGGGGATCTCACTCTTCTACCAAGGGCAACCCACCACTCAGTGTCAGTCAATCCTTCCCAGGCAGCAGGGCAAGCCCAGTAATGCCTTATTTTCCAGATTTTCAAGACTCCCATGAAATATCCCAATTTTAAAAGCTGGCTACTAATTCAGAATATAAGAAGAAAATACTGCCGGGCATGGTGGCTCACACCTGTAATCCCAGCACTTTGGGAGGCTGAGGTGGGCGGATCACCTGAGGTCGGGAGTTTGAGACCAGCCTGACCAACATGGAGAAACCCTGTCTCTACTAAAAATACAAAATTAGTTGGGTGTGGTGGCGCATGCCTATAATCACAGCTACTCGGGAGGCTGAGGCAGGAGAATCACTTGAACCCAGGAAGCAGAGGTTGCAGTGAGCCCAGATCACGCCATTGCACTCCAGCCTGGGCAACAAGAGCAAAACTCCATCGAAAGAAAGAAAAGAAAGAAAAGAGAAAGAAAAGAAAGAAAGGAAAGAAAGAAGAAAGAAAGAAGGAAAGAAAATACCATGTGAGTCAAAAAAAAAACCATTATGGAGCCAGGCTTGGTGGCTGCCATAGCTGGGACTATATATGATGGTGGTTGAGGCGAGGGCTTAGGAGTTGCAGGCTGCAGTGAGCTATGATTGCACCACTGCACTCCAGCCTGGGTGACAGAGTGAATCCTCATCTCTAAAAATAAAATAAGAATAAATAAAAATCCAAAACCCATTATGGGCTACATTTGGACTACATACTGGCAGACTGGGGCCTGCAGTGTGTGGTAGAATTTATGAGAAAAATACACATATGAATAGAAAGGTACAAAAAATGATCTGCACCCCATGAAACCAGTAATAATGTGTACGTTGGGGTAGATGAGAAAGAACGAGGTTGCTGAAGGTATGGAATAGGTCTTTATCTTTTCTGTATTGTTTGTGACCTTGAACATGAAAATGTAGTTACCTATTACCTATGTACTTTCTTTCTTTAACTTTTTTTTTTTTTTTTTGAGATGGAGTCTCGCTCTGTTGCCCAGGCTGGAGTACAGTGGCGCAATCTCGACTCACTACGACCTCTGCCTCCCGGGTTCAAGTGATTCTCCTGCCTCTGCCTCCTAAGTAGCTGGGATTACAGGAGCATGCCATGATGCCCAGCTAATTTTTTTTATTTTTATTTTTAGTTGAGCCGGGTTTTCACTGTGTTGGCCACACTAGTCTTGAACTCCTGACCTCAGGTGATCCACCTGCCTCAGACTCCCAAAGTACTGGGATTACAGGCATGAGCCACCGCGCCCGGCCTACCTATGTACTTTAAAAAGAAGAAAAGTGCCCCCTGAATTAGAATACCAAACATTATTAGTCCTGTGGCCCTCTAGGTTGGGCAATATTAGAATTCTCTGCTTTGGATTGCAAGCCTTCAAAACGCAAAGTTTATATTTCAAAATTGCTTTTTAAAAAAATTCATAGTAATGTTTTCCTTATTTGGGGAATGCTGATTTTCAAAGAATGGAAACTCACTCAGAATAGCACCAGAACAAAAGAGGGATTTGGTGGGAAGGTATAGGGTGGTTTTGTAGCATCCAGGGCATGAATTGAAACCAGGCGCACAAGGAACAAGAACCCCAAGGCTGGAAGCCACGTGGCCTCAGAGCCAGTCTTCTTGTCTTCTCCTGTCAGCTTTCTACTGTTTGTTTCTGCAGTTTATTCTTCTGCTTGGTATGCCCACTTCCTAGTTCATTACACATGGCCCTATGGCACCCTCAATCACAGGGTTGCCATGACCTCAAAAGTCCTGCACACTTGGGTAGGAGTCTCCGAAATCCCACGTCCATATTCCTGGGAAAGAGAATCTGACTGTGGCCACTGAGTTTATGACCTAGATCAAATGTCCTCTCCCCATCCAACCATTGGACAAGAGGAAAGTGGGATCCTATGGTTGGCGCAAACCGGCCCCAGGGACCCTCTCCAGCAGGAAAGGGCATTTCTGAGAGATGGAGGATTTAGCCTGGGGAGGGGCCTCAAAAGGAATCCACAGATGCAGCTATTATACAAGTTCCATGTTTACAGGCACCTGTGAATGCTGAATCGGATAGAACACATTTGTTCATAAGGGAGGTAGCAGAGCAAAGTGGCCGAGATATGGGACTTCAGTAGGATAACTAACCATCCCAGTTTGCCTAGGACTGAAAGAGGTTGTAAAATTGAAAGGATACAGCCTTTCATGTAAAATTGAAAGGACCCAGCCTTTCAATTTTAAAATTGGGACAGTTTTTAAAGATTTCCCAGCATGTGAGACTTTCATTGCAAAAACCAGGAAAGTCTCATGCAAACCACGATGAGTTGGTCCCCTTAGATTTTGGAGCTGGATCTAGTTATGAATCCTGGCTCAGCTGCTGCAGCTGTGTGACCCTGAGCAAGTCACTTTACCTCTTATACCTCAGTTTTCTCCTTGCAAAATGAGAATAATAATAGTTCCCACATCACAGAGTAAGATAAGCACCCGTGAGCACTCAGTAGAAATTAGGCAATTAGGTAATGTCGACGAAAACAGTCAAACTCTATAACATATTTGAAGAAACTTATTCTGAGCCAAATATAAGTGACCATGGCCCATGACACAGCCCTCGGGAGGTCCTGAGAACATGTACCCAAGGTGGTCAAGGTGCAGCTTGGTTTTATACATTTTAGGGAGACGTGAGACTTCAATCAAATACATTTAAGAAATACATTGGTTCGGTTCAGAAAGGTGGGACAACTGGAAGCGGGGCATGGGTTCCAGGTTATAGGTGGGTTTAAAAATTATCTGCTTGACAATTGGTTGAGTTTATCTAAAGATCTTGGATCAATAGAAAAAAAAGGCCTGGATTTCTTTTCTGGAGACTGGAAAGGATTGCAGAGACCAAAGTTCTTATTTGTAGAGGAAGCCTTCAGAGAGAATACGTTGTAAAATGTTTCTTATCAGACTTCATGTCTGTGTTGATGTCAGTGCCAGCAAGGTATAATGAGGCATGTCTGAACACCACTTCCCTTCATGGCTGAACCAGTTTCTCAGGTTAAATTTTTTTTTTTTTTTTTTTTTTTTTTTTAGATGAAGTCTTGCTTTGTCACCTGGGCTGCAGTGCAATGGTGCAATCTCAGCTCACTGCAGCCTCCACCTCCCAGGTTCAAGCGACTATCCTGCCTTAGTCTCCTGAGTAGCTGGGACTACAGGCACCCACCAGAACGCCTGGCTAATTTTTTGTATTTTTAGTAGACACGGGGTTTCACCATGTTGGCCAGGCTGATCTCGAACTTCTGGCCTCAGGTGATCCACCTGCCTTGGGCTCCCAAAGTGCTGGGATTCAGGCAGGAGCCACCGCACCCGGCGTCAGGTTAAATTTTAAAAGAGCCCTACCCAAGAATGTACATGGTTGGTGGGGGCCTTAGAATTTTATTTTTGGTTTACAGTAATAATATATATGGTTAAAAAATTGTCTACAATCAATAATAATTTAATTGTACATTTAAAAATAACTAAAAGAGGGCTGGGTGCAGTGGCTCACGCCTGTAATCCCAGCACTTTGGGAGGCCAAGGCAGGAGTATCACTTGAGCCCAGGAGTATGAGACCAGCCTGGGCAACATAGTGAGAGCCTGTCTCAGTTTTAGAAAATAATAATAAATAACTAAAAGAGTATATAATTGGATTGTCTGTAACACAACGGCTTTTGAGGGGATGAATACCCCATCTTCCATGATGTGATTATTACGCATTGCATGCCTGTATCAAAACATCTCAGGTACCCCATAAATATATAAACCTACTATGAACCCACAAAAATTAAAAATAGAAGTAAAATTTCAGGCCAGGCATGGTGGCTCACACCTGTAATCCTAGCACTTTGGGAGGCCGAGGCGGGCAGATCACCTGAGGTCAGGAGTTCGAGACCAGCCTGGCCAACATGGCGAAACCCTGGCTCTACTAAAAATACTAAAATTAGCTGGGTATGGTGGCGCACACCTGTAATCCCAGCTAACTCAGGAGGCTGAGGAAGGAGAATTGCTTGAACCCGGGAGGTGGAGGTTGCAGTGAGCCGAGATTGTGCCACTGCACTCCAGCCTGCGTGTCAGGAATGAGACTTTATCTCAAAAAATAAAATACAATAAAATAAAATTTCAAAATTGGAAGCAAAACAAACAGTGAAAAGTAAGACTCACTCCCACCTCTGTCGCTCAGGCCACAGGTCCCCAGTTCCCTTCTCCAGAGTAACTACTTAGCAGTTTCTTACGTATCATTCCAGATAGTCTGTGAATTATAGAAAGGTATATACAGATCTTTTTTTTTCTTTTTCTTTTTTTTTTTTTTTGAGATGGAGTTTTGGTCTCATTGCCCAGGCTAGAGTGCAATGGCACAATCTTGGCTCACTGCAACCTCCACCTCCCAGGTTCAAGTGATTCTCCTGCCTTGGCCTCCTGAATAGCTGGGATTACAGGCACCCAACACCACACCCAGCTAATTTTTTGTAATTTTAGTAGAAACTGGGTTTCATCACGTTGGCCAGGCTGGTCTCGAACTCCTGACCTCAGGCGATCTACCCACCTTGGCCTCCCAAAGTGCTGGGATTACAGGCGTGAGCCACCGCACCCAGCCAACCTCATTATTTTTAATGGCTACATACTGTTTCATGGCCTTGGAATCATAATTCATTTAGACTGTCTCCTACTGATTGACATTTGGGTTGTTTCTATTTATTATTATTATTATTATTATTTTTAGAGATGGGGGCCTCACTATGTTACTCAAGCTGGAGTGCAGTGGCTATTCACAGGTGACATCATAGTGTACCATAGCCTTGAACTCCTGGGCTCAAGGGACTCTTCCATCACAGCCTTCTGAATAGCTGGGGCTACAGATGTGTGCCACCATGCCTGGCTGTTCCACTCTTTTGTTACTACAAACATTATGACAAACAATGTAATATTATCTTGTATACACAACTTTGTGTACATTCAGAAGTATCTCTAGGATAAATTCTTAGAAGTGGAAATGCTAGGTCAAAGGAGCTATTATCACCATTCATTGTAATTATTATAATTAATCTCTAAGAAGTCAGATGTTGGATCTACTTCCTTCTAAAGGCAAATAGTAGCTGTTATATCTGAGCATAAAGAGATCTTCTATATCAACTGCCTTTTGTGAGTAAAAAATTATTAAGTCCTGATACTGACATCTTGGAAAATTCCAGAATGCTGCTTCTACCTCTCCTCTCTTTTCATACCCCTTCTCTTTTCCCTATTTACATTGGCACATGACCACATTCCCACAAAATGTGTCAGTTGAGTTGGTGTCTTAGCCTGGGTTCCTTAGAAAAGAGAGCCTGAGGCAAAGCTTTATGAGAGTATAGAATCCCAGGGAGGCATGAGTGAAGGGAAAAGGGGAACAAGTCAAACAACGAGGACGAGTCAACATAAGAGCATGCATGATGGTCCTGACCACAACTTAGGCAAGCACAATTGCTTCCTCACTCTTAGAAGAAGCAACTGAGCTCGCATAGGGGAAGCGAGTCTCTGAGAAGCCAGAGTAAGCCACTGCATCTCTCCACACTCTGTGCAGTCACAGGAAGAGGCCCAGGTGGGGAGGGGGTAAGGAAGGGAATACGTTTATCTATAGGCTGCCATCTCCTATTGGTCGAAGTTTGCCCCTCAGGGTGTCAACTCCTTTTAGCTTATGAGTTGAGCCGCCCAACTCCTCCAGCAGCCATGGAGAAAGCCAGAACCCAAGACAGAAGTGTCAGCCTCTATGGCCAAGCATCAACCTGGAGGGTAAGCCACTGTGCATCCATGGGATTTGAGATGGTCCACAGGGTCTCTCATATCAATAGCAACAGGAAACCCACATGGCAGGAGGATAGGAGCAGAGATGCTGGTGCAAGGCCAGGTGCTGTGGTGTCATGCCCTTACGTGACATGAGGAACCTGGAGTAGCTACCACAGAGCAAGTCATTGTTAGAGTTCTGGCCAGAAAGCAAGGCAAGTGCAGGATTTGTAACGGCATGTAAAATGAATCTGGTACAGGGCCAGGTTTGATGGCTCATGCCCATAATCCCAGCACTTTGAGAAGCCGAGGCAGGAGGATCACTTGAGCCCAGGAGTTCGAGACCAGTCTGGGCAACATAGAGAGACCCCTGTCTTTATAAAAAAAAATTTTAAAAATTAGCTGGGTGTGGTGGTGCATATCTGTAGCCCCAGCCACTCTAGGGGCTGAGGTGGGAGGATCATTTGAGCCCCAAACATTGAGGCTGCAGTGAGCCATAATCATGCCTTTGCACTTCAGCCTGGATGACAGGGCAAGACCCTGTCTCAAAATAAATAAATAAATAAATAAAACAGAAAACAACAAAAAAAAACCAGTCTAGTACAGGTGGGAACACTGGCACTTTGCACACTGCACTCATTCTGAGATGTACATTTTATTACCTTTTTTTTGAGTTGGCGTCTCGCTCTGTCACTGAGCCTGGAGTACAGTCATGTGATCTCGTCTCACTGCAACCTCCGCCTCCCTGGTTCAAGGGATTCTCCCCCCTCAGCCTCCTGAATAGCTGGGATTACAGATGCCCGTCACTATGCCCGGCTAATTTTTGTATTTTTAGTAGAGGCAGGGTTTCACCATGTTAGCCAGGCTGGTTTCGAACTCCTGAACTCAGGTGATCCGCCCATCTCGGCCTCCCAAAGTGCTGGGATTACAGGCATGAGCCACCATGCCCAGCCATTTTATTACCTTTTAACATCATTGAAATCAGGATTTATCTCACAATTGACAGAATGTCAGAGTTTAATCGGCAGTTTTGTTCCCTTTCTTGGTGGTACATAAGTGGCCTTCTAGATGAAATAAGGTAATGTATTTAGGCTGATGTGTACCAACGTGTCTCTTGATATCCTTGGCCCAGAAATGTTCTCACAAAAGAGGCACTGCCCATCTTCTATGAGAAAGACCCACAATGAGGAAGAGCAATTGGCAAATTCATAAGCCAGGGATGTTGCATTCCCGTTGTCTATAACAAGCATTCATTACAATTACCATTAATATGACTATTTGTTGCTTATAGATATTGGTGTTGAAATGTTTGCTAATGTCAAGCCCAGGCTGTGAAACAAAAGTTCATTCATGTGCTCATGATGAGCAGTGGCTTTGGTTAGGTCAGAATTCAATGCTAAAAATCAATACCTCATTAGTCTTGATAAAGGAAGTGTAATGGAGTGTTTCAGCAGAGCCCAGGCTGGGAATCAGTTGGTTGTATTTTGATCTGATGGGTCATGATGCTTTTGTGGATTTGTTTGCATGAATCATTATGTTCATAAATACGGTTAAGTTACAGAAGCAAGTTACTAAATAATATCAACAGCATGAGTTCATTATTGCTTGTTTGAAAAAAAAAAGTGTGTATATGTATGAGTGTGTTTAACCAGTATGTTCCAGGTTCATGTCTACATTGATATCTTAAATCACTGTGCTCTAAAATGTAGACTTTGGTGTCTAAATCTTCACTACTCAAGGTGTTGTCCTTGAACCAGCAGTATCTCAAGCAACACCTGGGAAGTTACTAGAAATGCACAATCTCAAGCCCCATCCTAGACCGGCTGAATCGGAATACGGATTTAAAAATGCAAGCTCCCACATTAACTGACGAATGGATAAACAAAAACGGTACATTCAGCTGGATGTAGTGGCTCATGCCTGTGGTCCCAGCTACTCCAGAGATGGAGGCAGGAGGATCGCCTGACCCCAGAAGTTTGAGACCAGTCTGGGCAACATGGTGAGGCCTCACCTCTACTTTAAAAATGCAAAAATTAGCCAGGTGTGGTGGCGCGTGCCTCTGGAGTCCCAGCTACTTGGGAGGTTGAGGTGGGAGGATCGCTTGAGCCCTGCAGGTTGAAACTGTAGATGCTACAACATGGAGAAACCTTGAAACATTACACTAAGTGAAAGAAGCCAGACACAAAAGGCCACATGTTGTGTGATTTCATTTGTGTAAAATGTCCAGAATAGGCAAAACTATACAGACAGAAAGTAGAGTAGTGTTTGCCAGGGGCTGGGAGAAGGGGGTAATTGGGAGGCACTGATAATGGGTACAGAGTTTCCTTTTGGGGTGATGGAAGTGTTGTGGAATTAGATGCTGGTGATGATTGCACAACATTAGGAATAAATTTAGAGACACTGGGCTGGGCGTGGTGGCTTATGCTTGTAATCCCAGCACTTTGGGAGGCCGAGGCAGGTGGATCACTTGAGGTCATGGGTTTGAGACCAGCCTGGCCAACATGGTGAAACTCTGTTTCTACCAAAAATACAAAAATTAGCCAGGCATCGTGGCACCTGCCTGTAATCCCAGCTACTCCGGAGGCTGAGGCAGGAGAATGGCTTGAACCCGGGAGGCAGAGGTTGCAGTGAGCCGAGATTGTGCCATTGCACTCTAGCCTGGGCGACGGAGTGAGACTCCACCTCAAAAAATAATAATAATAAATAACACACTGAACTGTACACTTCAAAAATGTGAATTTTATCTTGTGAATTTTTTCTCAAAAAAATTAAAAAACAAAACCAACTTAGCACATTGCCTGCAAACTTTTAAAAATAGCATATTGCTTTCTTTCGTTCCCACAAAGGAGGAAAAGAAAATGCTGTGAAAGTCATCATATTCCAAAAAATTGCCATATGATATTTAATGTTCCCTGGCCACTCAAAAATACTGTGGATTTATTTTGGATCACCTATGTAAGTGTAATGTACAAGGTTTCCTGCAAATACAATGCTGCTGCTAACGTCATTAAAAGTAAAAATGATCAAAGTAATAAAAGGCGTTTAAAAGTTTTTTGTTTTTTTTTAAATGCAAGCTCCCCAGGTGTTTGAGAAGCAATTTGAGAAACACCATCTCCTTAACTACATGGCCTCAGTGTTGTTTCTCACCCTCATTCGGAAAATCCTTCCCTTTTCGTTTGGGAATCTCTACAGGTGGCACTATTTCACACATTAAGTACATGCCCTGCAGCCTCCACCTGCAGCCTCCTCCACCTCCCGGTTGCCTGCACTGCAGCAGCCCTGCTTAGGGGCGTGGCGCTATCATGGGGAACCACAGTCAGCAACTGATTAGGACATGGTGTCACCTGGGACCAAGGTCTCACTCCTTTGTTCTCAGTTGCTGTTATGGGCTGGCAGAAGAAACCAGCTGACACCAGACTGTTCACCAAAGTGTCCTCCTCTCTGCCTCCCTAGGCACCGCTGTACCAAAAATCTCCCCTCTCTTTAAACATAAAAGGGTTTACATTACAGGTTCATGCCTGTAATTCCTGTGCTATGGGAGGCCGAGGCAGGAGGATCTCTTGAGCTCGGGAGTTGAAGGCTGCAACGAGCCATGATCAGTTTAAAAAGAAAAAAAACACCAGATGTCAACACACATAGAGGATCCAAATGGAGTAGGGAAAGAAAGGGAGTCTCTCCCTCTCTCCAGAGATGTCTGAACTCTAGCTTCTGCTCAGAGAAAATTTTCTATTGCACAGACTTGAAAGATATGTAACAATTTTTTTTTTCTTGAGATGGAGTCTCACTCTGTCGCCCAGGCTGGAATGCAGTGGCAAGATCTCAGCTCACTGCAAACCTCCATCTGCCGGGTTCAAGCAATTCTCTTGCCTCAGCCTCCCGAGTAGCTGGGATTACAGGTGTGTGCCACCACACTAGGCTAATTTTTGTATTTTTATTTATTTATTTATCTATTTTCTTGAAACAGAGTCTCACTCTGTCTCCCAGGCTGGAGTGCAATGGCACGATCTCGGCCACTGCAACCTCCGCCTCCCAGGTTCAAGTGATTCTCCAGCCTCGGCCTCCTGAGTAGCTGGGATTACAGGCGCCCACCATCACACTTGGCTAAGTTTTTTGTGTTTTTAGTAGAAATGGGGTTTCACCATGTCGGCCAGGCTGGTCTTGAACTTCTTACCTCAAATGATCTGCCCACCTCAGCCTCCCAAAGTGCTGGGATTACAGGGGTGAGCCACTGCACCCGGCCGTTACGTAACAAAATATTAATAGTGTTTTTGTACTGGATGGTAGGAATTTTCTCTTTATGTATATTTCTAATTTTCTTTAAAAAAAAAGAATGTATATTATATAATCATAAAAATAAAGAAAAGTGTTTTGTTAGAGGAAATGAGAAATTCCCCATGGTGATGGAATATGTGATTTCAACATGCATCTTTATTTTTTTTATTTTTATTTTTTAAATTCCTCCTACTTAGGAGGAAGGTAGGGTTTAGCAATGTGTTTTATTTTATTATTTATTTATTTATTTATTTTTTGAGACAGAGTCTTGCTCTGTCATCCAGGCTGGAGTGCAGTGGCGTGATCCCAGCTCACCGCAAGCTCCGCCTCCCAGGTTCGCGCCATTCTCCCGCCTCAGCCTCCCGAGTAGCTGGAACTACAGGCGCCTGTCACCATGCCCGGCTAATTTTTTCTTGTATTTTTAGTAGAGATGGGGTTTCACCATGTTAGCCAGGATGGTCTCGATCTCCTGACCTCGTGACCCACCCGCCTCGGCCTCCCAAAGTGCTGGGATTACAGGCGTGAGCCACCGCGTCCGGCTATTTTTTATTTTTTGAGAGGGAGTCTCACTCTGTCTCCCAAGCTGGAGTGCAGTGGCGCTATCCTGGCTCACTGCAACCTCCACCTCCTGGGTTCAAGCAATTCTCCTGCCTCAACCTCCCGAGTACCTGGGATTATGAGAGCCCACCACCACGCCGGGCTAATTTTGTTTTGTTTTGAGATGAAGTCTAGCTCTGTCGCCCAGGCTGGAGTGCAGTGACCTGATCTTGGTTCACTGCAACCTCTGCCTCCCAGGTTCAAGCGATTCTCTTGCCTCAGCCTCCTGAGTAGCTGGGATTACAGGCACCTGCCACCACGCCTGGCTAATTTTTGTATTTTTAGTAGAGACGGGGTTTCATTGTGTTGGCCATGCTGGTCTCAAATTCCTCACCTCGTGATCGCCCTGCCTTGTTCTCCCAAAGTGCTGGGATTACAAGCGTGAGCCACCGCACCTGTCCTGATTTTTGTATTTTAGTAGAGATGGGGTTTCACCATGTTGGTCAGGCTGGTCTTGAACTTCTGACCTCAAATGATCCAACTGTCTCAGCCTCCCAAAGTGCTGGGATTACAGGCGTGAGCCTTCAACATGCATCTTTAAATAGAGAATTTCTGTCTTGCAAAAATTAGTGTATGAAGGTCACAAAGGCTTCCTCATACGGTTCACAGCACACAGAACAGTCTTTTTATAAAGGATGTGGGGTTGCAGAAACAGGAAATGAAGTTGGTTCCCAGATCTTGGCAGGCATAGATGGGGAGTCCCTCCAGAAATCTACTCAGGCCTCCCTCCTGCAAATGTGGGCATGCTGACCCCTTGTTATCTGTAAAGAGGGAGCTCTTAAGATAACTGTCCATTATCAAACCAATTGGTGATAATCCCTGCCTCAGCCTTTTAAATCACTTAGACCTAGACATTAAGTACTTTGTTGTGAATTTCCACCAAGGAGTTGAATTGGTTAACTATCCTGGAAGTGGTTCAGCTTAAAAGGGTTTGAGATAATTTTGCTACTTTGTTATTATTAGCAAAGATGAAAACTGCTCATTTTGTTTCTAATTTTATTCACTTTTGGGTGAATTATCTGGATCCTTTACAATGAATAATTTTAAATGGGTAATTCTAAAAATTGGTATTAAAAATTAATGTGTTCTTTAAGGAAGATTTAAAATACAGATAAGAAAAATGTATTTCTGTACTGTATTTATGTACATATATGTGTATATGTGTGTACATATGCATGAAACAGAAATGATGGTGCATTAGTGGGAAATGTTTGAATTGCAAGTGCCTGGACTTTACCATTCAAACTATCTTAGGCAAGATGGGAATATTTATTGACTCATAAAACAAACATAAGGAAAATTCAGAGTTATTTCTGGCCTCAGTGACCCAGGATTCAAAATGCTCTCAAAAGTTTTCCAGCTTCTGCCCTCTGCTTCCCTCTCTCTGCCTTCGTCTCATTCTCTCGGAATGCGGTCCAGCTGGCAGGAAATATGGCTGCCATGGCCTACAGACTCACGTCTTCCCATCTTTACTTCTGGAAAGCAACAGGTCCTTTTCCTTTGGTTCCAGCTTACAAAGTCCCAGGAGAGGTCCCTGATAGGCTCAGCATGAGTCATCTGTGCTCTTCTTGACAAATCATCTTGGGCAAGATAGCACAGTTCTGCGGTAGGCTCAGTTTGGGTTGAGTGCTCACCTCCAAACCAGACCCTGTGATGGAGAGGAGGGATCAGGTAAGCAGATGGCAGCTCCCATCTGAACTATGCATGGGGTGCTGTTCTGTAAAGAAAAATCAGTTGCTATTTCCCCTAGAAGGATAGTGTGCTGGTAGACAAGTGACAGATATTCACCAGATGCAAATGGAATCATATTTCACATGTGTTTTGCCACACACTTTGTTACATCTTTCATTTGTCTATGTTCCATGACATAATTTCAGTGATAATAACATTTAATGGCAGAGCATTCTATTGCTCTGGCAGAATATTCTATTCCGGAATACAGCCATGATGACTGGAAGTGACCATGAGGACAAGAGCCACCCATCAGGGTTGACAGAGCAGGAAGACAGAGAACACCCAGGTCCTTGACAGCATCCTGGAGTTACTTTACTAGCCAAGTATTACCAATCTCTAGACTTTTTTTTTTTTTTTTTTTTTTTTTTTTTTTGAGACAGAGTCTCTCTCTGTCATCCAGACTGGAGTGCAGTGGTGCAATCTCGGCTCACTGCAATCTCTAACTCCCAGGCTCAAGCGATTCTCTTGACTCAGCCTCCTGAGTAGCTGGGATTACAGGCATGCACCACTATGGCCAGCTAACTTTTTTGTATTTTTAGTAGAGACAGGGTTTTGCCATGTTGGCCAGGCTGGTCTCAATCTCCTGGCCTCAAGTGACCCACCCACTTCGGCCTCCCAGATTGCTGGGATTACAGGTGTGAGCCACTGCAACCAGCCTTTTTAGACTTCTTGATACATGAGAAAAATAATCCCTGATTTGGATAAACCACAGTAGTCAGGGTTCTCTTGCATATGGACAAGTGCAGTTCCTAATAAATACACTTCTTGACAGCCTTCCATGATTAAAGGTAGGCCAGGGAAATTAACATCAATGGGAAAGGTAGGGAAGGGTAATAATAGGAACCCCAGAGAGGTTGAGGGGAAGCTGAAATAAAGGAACTTGTAGCCTACTTCTTTTTTGAAGTGTTGAAGGAAACTGACCCATAGAGCATTCTGGAGCCAACATTCTATGGTTGCAACAGAGTAGAACTGGCAGTCATAGCTGAATTGAGTAGCAAGAAGGTAAGAGGTAGTACCCAAGACTTTGATCCTATGTAGCATGAAGGGTTGCAGAAGTCTCTAAGGCTCCTAGTTTGAGTAATGGGATCGTCTCCCCAGTTCCCCATACATAGAGATCTTTACTGTAAGTTTCCTTAAAGAGCTGTCATAGGAGCATGATGGAGTACATCACAAGGACAATGTCCTAAAGTCCTCTGTAGTCCCTGTGGTAGTCAGCCTCTAAGGTGGCCCACTATGATGGTTAATTTTAGGTGTCAGCTGGGTGTGGTGGTTCAAGCCTGTAATCCCAGCACTTTGGGAGACTGAGGCAGGGGGCTCACTTGAGCCCAGGAGTTCAAGACCAGCCTCAGCAACATAGCAAGACCCCCTCTCTATAAAAAATTTTAAAATTAGCCAAGTGCAGTAGCACATGCCTATAGTCCTAGCTGCTTGGGAGGCTGAGGTGGAAGGATCACTTGAACCTGGGAGTTTGAGGCTGCAATGAACTATGATCACACCACTGCATGGAAGCCTGGGTAAGAGAGTGAGACCCTGTCTCTAAAAAAAAAGTTTCAGGTGTCAACTTGACTAGATTAAGGAATACCCAGATAGCTGAGAAAGCTTTATAGTTATGCCTGTAAGTGTGTTTGGAAGAGACTGGCATTTAAATCAGTAGACTGATAAGGAAGATCTGCCCTCACCCAGGGTGGATGGTAGCATCCACTCAGCTGAGGGCCCAGATAGTGCAAAAGGGCAGAGGAAAGGCGAATTTTCTCTCTCTCTCTTCTGAGCTGGGACACCCTTCTCCTGATGTTAGACATCAGAACTCCAGGTTCTTCAGCCTTCAGACTTCAGGACTTGCACCAGCAGCCCCTCAAGTTCTTGGGCCTTTGAACTTAAACTGACTCACACTACTGGCTTCCCTGGTTCTCTATATCTATATATCCTATTGATTCTTTCTCTCTGGAGAACCCAGACTAATACACTCACTGTGATCCTTGCCTCCAAGTATTCATACCTTTGTGTAGTCCCCTCCCACACTGTACCAGGGTTGGTCTGTGTGACCAAAGGAGTATGGCAGAAATGATGGTCTATCACTTCCAAGGTTAGATTGCAGCTTCTGCTTCTTTCTCTCAATCACTCACCCTGGGGAAGCCAGCTGACACGTTGTGAGGAGAAGCTACACGTGAGGAAACAGTCACATGAGGGAGCTTGGGAGCAAGCTGATCATCCAGCCCCAGTCAATCCTACAGATAACTGTAGTCCCAGCCAGTGTCTAGACTGCAACCTTGTGAGAGACCTTCAATTAGAGATACTCACCTAGGCTGTTCCAGATTCCTAATCAACAGAAATAAAATAATTTTTTTTGAGACAGGGTTTCACTCTGTCTTCCAGGCCAGAGTGCAGTGGTGCCATCCTGGCTCACTGCAGCCTCAATCTCCCCAGGCTCAAGTGATCCTCTTACCTCAGCTTCCCAGGTAGCTGAGACTACACGTACGCATCACCAAACCCAGCTGATTTTTTTATTTTTAGTAGAGACGAGGCCTTGCCATGTTGCCCAGGCTGGTCTTGAACTCCTGGGCTCAAGCAATCCTCCTGCCTCAGCTTCCCAAAGTGCTGGGATTACAGGCATAAGCCACTGCACCTGGCAAATGTTTTGTTTTGTTTTTTAAGGTAAGCAATTATTTCATTTCCTTGGTGAAGGGGTGGCCTGCCCCTCCACACCTGTGGGTATTTCTAGTCGGGTGGGACAAGAGACTGAGAAAACAAATAAGACACAGAGACAAAGTATAGAGAAACAACAGTGGGCCCAGGGGACCGGCACTCAACACACCAAGGACCTGCACTGGCACCGGCCTCTGAGTTCCCTCAGTTTTTATTGATTATTATTTTCATTATTTCAGCAAAAAGGAATGTAGTAGGAGAGCAGGGTGATAATAAGGAGAAGGTCAGCAAAAAACATGTGAGCAAAGGAATCTATGTCATAATTAAGTTCAAGGGAATGTACTATGACTGGACGTGCACGTAAGCCAGATTTATGTTTCTCTCCACCCAAACATCTCAGCGGAGTAAAGAATAACAAGGCAGCATTACTGCAAACATATCTCGCCTCCCACCATAGGGCGGTTTTTCTCCTATCTCAGAATTGAACAAATGTACAATCGGGTTTTATACCGAGACATTCAGTTCCCAGGGGCAGACAGGAGACAGTGGCCTTCCTCTATCTCAACTGCAAGAGGCTTTCCTCTTTTACTAATCCACCTCAGCACAGACCCTTTACGGGTGTCGGGCTGGGGGACAGTCAGGTCTTTCTCATCCCACGAGGCCATATTTCAGACTATCACACGGGGAGAAAACTTGGACAATACCCCGCTTTCAAGGGCAGAGGTCCCTGCAGCTTTCCACAGTACATTGTGCCCATGGCTTATTGAGACTAGAGAATGGCGATGACTTTCACCAAGTATACTGCTTGTAAACATTTTGTTAACAAGGCACGTCCTGCACAGCCCTGGATCACTTAAACCTTGATTTTATACAACACATGTTTTTGTGAGCTCCAAGTTGGGTCACAGTGGTTGGGTCAAAGTGGCTGGGGCAAAGCTACAAATTAACAACATCTCAGCAAAGCAATTGTTTAAAGTACAGGTCTTTTTCAAAATGGAGTCTCTTATGTCTTTCCTTTCTACATAGACACAGTAACAGTCTGATCTCTCTTTTCCCTTCACTTGGCCTGACAGCATTGACTTCATTACACAAGAACTTGCAGCTGACAGAACTGACACACAGATTTCCCCCAAGAGGAAGAACCCTTTTCATTTGCAGAGATGAATTGAAATGTCATGTCTGAGTGCAATTCCTGCTCCCCACTCCCACCCCACAAAATCCTATAAGTGATAATAAATCAATAAAATCCCCATGATTTACTAAAAGTCATCCCTGCAAACCTTTCTAACTAGCAGCTGCAGTGGATAACCAAGAAGGGAAGCAGCTGGCCATCACATAGCATTCCTGTGAGTGTGAGAATGAAGGGACAGCAGCATGGGAGCGAGAATCCTGAATGAGTGAGAGGTATAGATAATCTACCTCACTTCATACCTGCCCCTTCCCTACATAAGACATCTCTGTCCTGATACATGGAAAATACTAGAGGAGATGGTAGAAGTGGTTTTAGTCTGCAATTGGAAATGCCTGAAGCTTATTAAATTCCAAGGTAGGGGTGAGATGAGGAGCACCAGAGAGAAAGAGCAGGTTAGACAGAGATGCTCAACTCACTCTGTCAATTCCAGTTTAATGCTATTTAACAACAAAATTATCTTCTTAATCATAACCACCCTCATGCCTAACCCCTATTTTCCAAAGATAAGAGATCCCTGTCTAAATTTCTGGGTTGGTGTCTACTGCCGCCCCTGGGGTGGTACTGTGATGTTTGTGAGTGAGATTGCAACTGGGATGGGAGAAAAGAAGTGTGGGATACGGAAGATCGGGGGCCACGATGCATCAATTACAGTGGGTCTCTTTTCGTCCCCAGGTATGGCCCACTACCACAAGTCCCCTTTCCCTACCTGTCTTGTGCAACTGTCAAAAACAGAATCTCTGCCCAAAGAGAAGGGAGCACAGGGAGTTGCTGCTGGACTGCCATCATCTCTGACCCCAACTTGTCCACCTCCTGACCGACCTTTCTATGAAACTGCACAAAAATTAAATCTCAGGAATGCCATAAAATTACATCATCCCCATTCCTCTATCAAAGCCAATCCAACAGCTCTGTCCTGACATGCTTTCTCCCTGGGCCAAGGAAGCAACAAAAAATATCAGTTGAGCATGTGAAAATGCGTTGACGGTGTGTGCGGTGTAAAGTTTCTATATGTCTTCACCTTCTGTCTCCTCACGGTGGGAGCCGCCCTCTCTTTCCCCAAGTCACACACACACCCCTCCCCTACCCCTAAGTCCAGGTGCTTCCATCTGCTGGGCTTCCAACCACTCATTTCCCATAGACACTCTCATTACTGTAGGCCACATACAGAAAATCATCTTCCTCATGACTGTCCTCATATAGTTGGCCCATGGTAGCACTAGTGGGAGGGATAGTGTTGTTGACAAAGAAGAATAAGGCGTCCTCAGGTCTCAGGTGGATTCTCTTCCGGATTAAAAGGTAGAACTGGCCATCGGTAAGGTCGGAGGGCACTAGGTACTTCCTCCTGTCCAGATCAGGCACCCTTGCTTTTGGAGCCTTCTCTACAATCAAGGGGACCCTGTCCGGATATTTCTTCCGGATCTTTTCTCCTTCCTTTTTCCGATACTCAAAGGGATGGACCTCCTTGTACTGGAACTTCATGGTGAATCACAGGGCTTCCGTGATCCCCGCGCAGGGCCTGCCTCCTTCGCCGCTGACCGCTGGCCACGTCCCGCTCCCTCCGCCGACGTGTGCTTAGAATAGCTGCAGAAATGTCCGCTTCCGGGTCAACAGCACTGGTCCAAGTGTGCGGGAGGGCAGAAGGTGGGGTGGGAGGGGGACCTCGGGTGCGCCTGCCTGGAGGTAGAGGAGAGCCAGGTGGAGAAATACCGGCGGCTTTTCCAAACAGCTGGGAGCACAAAAACCAAATATTTGGTTTTTTAAACCAATAAATTTTGGGGTAATTTGTTACACAGCAATAGATAATGATAGACTCTCTCTTTAAAAAAATCAGTTCTGGCAGGGTGCGATGGCTCACGCCTGTAGTTCCAGCACTATGGGAGGCCAAGGCGGGTGGATCACCTGAGGTCAGGAGTTCGAGACCAGCCTGGCCAACATGGTGACACCCCCGTCTCTACTAAAGATACAAAAAATTAGCCGGGCGTGGTGGTGCACGCCTGTAATCCTAGCTACTTGGGAGGCTGAGGCAGGAGAATCGCTTGAAGCCAGGAGGCAGAGGTTGCAGTGAGCTGTGATGGTGCCATTGCACTCCAGCCTGGGCGACAGGGCAAGACTCTGTCTCAAAATAAATAAATAAATAAATAAATAAATAAATTCAGTTATAGCAAGTGCTGAAGTCTTTCTGTCTTTTCATGCTCCTTGAAGTCCTTTCACAGTTTTTCCTGGCTCTTCTACGCCTCCTCTCGGCCACGCCCTTTAGCACCCAACCCCTCAACAGGTAATGATCCTCTCTTCACGTGGCCATTGCGGGTACATGATTGGTTTCCTGTACTGACTGCTCTTCTCGTGAGACCAAGCTTCCTTTCCCCTACTCCCCACACACCTGATCATTGTGAACAAACCGCCGAGAGAACAAGGTAAGGCAGAAGGAACAGAAGCTGCAGAGAGCGGCAGGGGATAGCCACCAGCCAGATTCTGTGACTCTTCATTCATCTCCCCACTCCAGTCCCAGATTGAAGAATAATCTTCATGATCTCCTTAATGGCAAAATGCTAGAAAGACTTACCGAGGGGTCTGAAGATGCCTTCGGTTCTCCAGGTCCTGAACTCTGTTCCAGTTACAGGAGGACTGGCAATCCCTAGGTTTCCTGGGTGTTACTTTGTTACTGACCTCCTCTGAGATTTCCATTTTCCTCAATTTCGTCTAACTAAATCTAACTACGTCTAACTACCTCTGCTAACCAGACATTTGTTCATAGTCGACAGAGTTTCCGAAAATGCAATGTAGTTACCTTGCAGATGACTATAATTGTGTAGCAAAATAACTAAGATGCCACTGGCTATATGGAAAAAAAAATTACTTAGGATTTTGATACCTTTTATGGTTTATTTCCCCTTTTGGCCTGTGAACTTCATGAAGGTAATGGTTATGTATGATTCCCGAGTAATCACAGTTCCCAGAACGATCTTTTTTTTTTTTCTTTCTTTTTTTCTTTTTTGAGACGGAGTCTTGCTCTGTCGCTCAGGATGGAGTCCAGTGGCGCGATCTCGGCTCACTGCAAGCTCCACCTCCCGGGTTCACATCATTCTCCTGCCTCAGCCTCCCGAGTAGCTGGGACTACAGGCGCCCGCCACCACGCCCGGCTAATTTTTTCTATATTTAGTAGAGACGGGGTTTCACCATGTTAGCCAGGATGGTCTCGATCTCCTGACCTCGTGATCCTCCCGCCTCGGCCTCCCAAAGTGCTGGGATTACAGGCGTGAGCCACCACGCCCTGCCCCCAGAACGATCTTGAGAACAGAATGTTCCCAATAAATATCCACTGGAAAATGCACCTTATTTTTGTTGAAGGAATGGTGGAATTAGCATCAAAGGGATCTTCAACATTAACTCGGGCCGGGCACGGTGGCTCACGCCTGTAATCCCAGCACTTTAGGAAGCCGAGGCGGGCGGATCACGAGGTCAGGAGATGGAGATCATCCTGGCTAACATGGTGAAACCCCGTCTCTACTAAAAATACAAAAAATTAGCCGGGTGTGGTGGCGGGCGCCTGTAGTCCCAGCTACTCGGGAGGCTAAGGCAGGAGAATGGTGTGAACCTGGGAGGCAGAACTCGCAGTGAGCCGAGATCGTGCCACTGCACTCTAGCCTGGGCGACAGAGCGAGACTCCGTCTAAAAAAAAAAAAAAAAAAAAACTCTATGGCTGGTAATTCTAAGCGTTTTATAATACATCACAAAATGTTCTTTTATTTTTCTAAATTGCACTGAATCAACAAACGGAGTAGACAGGCACATTTTCTTCACTTTAAGGAAAGACTTTGTTGTTTTTTAGCTAGGGGCCGACCCAAAGTGATCACTGGCTCTCACATGAGACCCAGGAGCCTCCCCAGTTTGAAGCCCGATATCACATTTCCCAGAATACTTGATGCCCTCGCCCGCCTCCTCTGGCTATCAACCAGACGGAAAGGGGATGTGCCTGGGAGTTTGATGCCAAGGGAAGGATGCGGAATGTCTGTTTTCTACTAAGGGCTTCTGCTGGGCCTTTCCAATGTCCAGTTTGAGTTGGTCTGGGACCTGGCCTCCGCAAACACCCTGCAGGCTCCGGCCGCCGGGGATGAGGTGGAAGACTGGGCAGAAGAGAGGCCGCAAAGGCCCGAGGGCTGAGCTGCTCTGCGCTGGGGAGGGGCGAAGTGCCAGAGCGCGGGAGACCTCATGGTGGGCACCAGGCTGCTCCGCGGTAGGTGGGTGAGGCCAGGAGATTCACATCTGCAGATGCCACAGTGAGGATACAGCATTTAGATCCCTCGGCTCCAAACAGGCGGTTCCGGGGGACCGGTAGCTGGGGAATTGGGTTTAGCACTTTCCAACGCTTGGAACTGGACATCCACGGCTCCGAGTCCTTTGAGGTCTTGCTCGGGACTACGTTTCCCAGAAGGCTAGGCGATAATTGACAGCTCTATCAGCCTATGGACAGAGAAAAATTCTAGCCATGGAAACTGAAAAGCCAATAGCAAGAGGATGGGGGCGGTACTTTCCGGCCGCTGGCTGTCGAAGCCGGAGTCCCACCTGTGTCCCCACAGCCCTGTCACGAATCCCGGTCGGGTTCTGGGAGGCACAGCCTCGGGGTTGCGGGCCGGGTGCGGCTCGGCGGTGGAGGACTCACTTCCTGCTCCATCCCCGGCTGGGCCCTGGGGCGGTGAGTGATTCAAGGAGGGAGACCGCGGCGGCAGCGGCGCGCTGCTGAGGGGCGTGGAGGGGGCTTGCCCGCCACCCAGACGTTTTCTCAGCGGGGTTCCCGCGCTGGCCTTTGGGAGCCCCCGGGTCTTGCTGGGCTGTGGGAGAGGTAGCTGTGGTCTCTATACCGTCGGCGGGATAAGTCATTCTCTTAATCAGTTTTCTTGCTTCTCGATGGTGGTCCCAGGGTTTCAGCTGATCTGTGACCCTCTGACCGCCGCACCCCGGTTAGGGCGCGAGCACCGAGAAGAAGAACGGGGTTCGGCCCCACGCGTGCAGTCATGTTCCTATTAATAAACCCGGTGAACGCACTGGAGCTTCTCACAGTGGCACTTAGTCACAGCCCCTCAGCGCTGTGGGGCCTTTGAGGTCACCTGTGCATGGGGAAAGGGACGGGCTGGGAAACAGGGTTTCTATAACCGTGGCTAAGACGTCTCCCCTCCTCAGTGGCGCTGTCTCCAGCAAGTGGGCCCTGCAGCTGTGTTTTGTAATGAATGTAGAAATAAAAATTATACTCAAAACTCTTTTTTTTTTTTAGACGGAATTTCGCTCTTGTTGCCCAGGCTGGAATGCAATGGCGCTATCTCCTTTCACTGCAGTCTCCACCTCCCGGGTTCAGGCGATTCTCCTGCCTCAGCCTCCCAAGTAGTTGGGATTACAGGCGTGTGCCACCACACCCGGCTAATTTTGTATTCTTAGTAGAGACAGGGTTTCACCATGTTGGCCAGGCTGATCTCGAACTCCTGACCCCAGGTGATCCGCCCGTCTCGTCTTCCCAAAGTGCTGGGATTACAGTCATGAGCCACAGCACCTGGCCAATACTGAAAACTCTTATTACAATTTTTACTTTCTAATTACATTATTGTTGTTTGTTAAAGTTTTAAACCAGAGAGATGGTTTTTAGATCCTTAAAAACTCAATACTTTATAAATGACCAATAATAATGTCTGTAAATACAAAAATATTTCCCCCAAAAGTGTGTGTGTGTGTGTGTGTGTGTGTGTGTGTGTGTGTGTGTTCCAGTAGTAAATAGGTGATTTGTAGTGGGACAAAAGATGTGAAAGAGTAAAACTTCTTCACCACAGTCTGGTCCTTCCTCCCTTGAAATGCAATATTCTTTGTAGTGGGTGGTCATGCTGGCTGCATTTTTTTTTTTTTTAAGGGAGAGACAGGGGCTCACTCTGTTGCTAGGCTGGGGTGCAGTGGCGCCATCATAGCTCACTGCAGCCTGGAACTCCTGGGCTGAAGTGATCCTCCCACTTCAGCCTCCTGAGTAGCTGGGACCACAAGTGCATGCCACCATGCCTGGCTGATTTTTAAAAGTTCTTTGTAGAGAAAGAGGTCTCAATATGTTGCTGAGGCTGGTTTATTGGAAACTTTTTAAGGGAAAAAACATTATCTTAATTTCTATGTGACTCCTATGCCTGGCAACATATTAATTGTTGAATAAATGACTGATCCATCCAGTAATTCACTCTTGACTATCCTCCAAAAAGTAATGTTTTTCATGATATTGCTGTCGATTTATTAATATATTAATGATTGGTTTCAGCCCCTAAGAGTTGTGTTTTGTGCTTATTCCCACTTTCACTTATTTTTACAACCTATCCATGTCTTCTTTTTTTTAAAAAAAAAATGTCTTTTTCAGTCTTATTTCTGACTCCATTAAGATCTTGAAATAGAATGGTATCCAACACAGTTCCCTTTGGGGTTCTGTATAATCTGTCCCTTGAGGTTGACACCAAATCTGCAAGCCAAGAAGTTAGCTGCTCCCATAACTAATATGAGTATAGTTAAGGCCACAATTTCCTTGCTTGCTGAGGAAAATGAAGTTGGGGAGAATCAAAAGCTTTCCAGAAATCAAATTACACCTGCCAACTCTCTCCTTTGTTTACCTTGTTCATCGTGGACAATTTGTTCCTCAAAAAGTCAATGTGTCTAAAAGACTGGGTTCTGTCGATGTGTTTGGGAGGCCTAGGCCTCTCTTAGTAATGGGAAAGTTGGCCAGGAGAAGACGTATGTAAAAACAGACTTAGAAAAGCACCCCTCTGTGGTTGACAGAATTTACCTCAGGACCATTCTGGTCAGGTGTGGGGGGTTGTTTGTGTACACTGGTGGCCATTTTTTGGCTTTCAGACAATGGTGAGAATATCTAGGGAGCTACTGATGCACATTGAGGTCTCTTGCTTTAGGAACTGATGACGCTTGATAATGTGGCTGGGGACTTCAGGGAAGAGTGGGTTACCTGGACACTGCTTAGAGAATCCTCTCCAGGAATGCCACCCAGCACAGTTAGAAGAATGGGCTCTCAAAGGGTAAGAATGCTACTCTCCTTTATTTCATTTATTTATCTTGTTTTTTTTGAGACGGGGTCTCGCTCTGTCATCCAGGCTGGAGTGCAGTGGCGCGATCTCGATTCACTGCAATCTGTGCCTCCTGGGCTCAAGCGATTCTCCCACCTCAACCTCCTGAGTAGCTGCGATCACAGGCATGTGCCACCATGCCTAGCTAATTTTTTGTGTTTTTAGTAGAGACAGGATTTTGCTATGTTGGCAAGGCTGGTCTCACTATGCTGTCCAGGCTGGTCTCAAACTCCTGAGCTCAAGCAATCCACTGGCCTCCGCCTTCCAAAGTGCTAGGATTATGGGCGCCACCATGCCTGACCACTGCTCTCCTTTAATTTGAGACTTAGATATTTGGAGAGGGCCCAGGTCTGAGGAGTTTCTGGTATGTTGGCATCTTAGAGCTCCAGACCTCTGTAAGATTAATTGTTGCCTCCTTGGGAGAAAAACAATTACTTCCTTATGCATTTTATGGTTTGCAAATGTCTTTGCTATTTATTGTCCTTTTAATATCTCATCATAACTTTTTGACTTATGTATTACTATCCCCCTTTTCCAGCCTGGGTTGGACTCTCACCTCTGCCACTTAACTTCTGAGACTTCTGAGGTCTTTGTGGAAAAGGAGGTAATTTTTTCTGTCACTTAAAAACAGGCTGGGGGCAGTGGCTCACGCCTGTAATCCCAGCACTTTGGTAGGCTGAGGTGGGCGGATCATAAGGTCAGGAGTTCGAGACCAGCCTGGCCAACATGATGAAACCCTGTCTCTACTAAAAATAAAAAAATTAGCTGGGTGTGATAGCGGGCGCCTGTAATCCCAGCTACTTTGGAGGTTGAGGCAGGAGAATTGCTTGAACCTGGGAGGTGGAGGTTGCAGTGAGCTGAGACCACGCCATTGCACTCCAGCCTGGGCAATAGAGCAAGACTCTGTCTCAAAAAAAAAAAAAAAAAAAAAAACAAGGCTGGGCGCGGTGGCTCATGCCTGTAATCCCAGCACTTTGGGAGGCCAAGGCAGGGAGATCACAAGGTCAGGAGATCGAGACCATCCTGGCTAACATGGTGAAACCCCGTCTTACTAAAAATACAAAAAATTAGCCAGGCATGGTGGTGGGCACCTGTAGTCCCAGCTACTCGGGAGGCTGAGGCAGGAGAACAGCGTGAACTGGGAGGCGGAGCTTGCAGTGAGCCAAGATCATGCCACTGCACTCCATCCTGGGCGACAGAGCAAGACTCCATCTCAAAAAAAAAAAAATAAATAAAAAAAACCAAAAACACCTCCAATGCTCTTTCTCAAATATCATGGCTACCCTTCCTCCTGCTTTACTTCTTTCTTTCTTTTTTTTTTTTTGTGGCAGAGTCTCGCTGTGTCGCCCAGGCTGGAGTGCCATGGCATGATCTCGGCTCACTGCAACCTCTGCCTCCTAGGTTCAAGCGATTCCTGGATAATTTTTTGTATTTTTAGTAGAGATGGGTTATCTCCATGTGGTCAGGCTGGTCTCAAACTACTGACCTCAAGTGATCCGCTCACTTCGGCCTCCCAAAGTGCTGGGATTATAGGAGTGGGCCCAGCTCTAATTTTTGTATTTTTAGTGGAGTCGAGGTTTCACCATGTTGGCCAGGCTGGTCTTGAACTCCTGACCTCAAGTGATCCGCTGGCCTTGGCCTCCCAAAGTGCTGAGATTAGAGGTGTGAGCCACTGCGCCTGGCCTACTTCATCTATTATACAAGTAATGTATACTCATTCAATAAAAAGTCAAGCAAAATGAAAACAAACATCATCCCTAATCCCACCAATGAAGAGTTACTATCCTACCAGCATTTTTCTAAGCATATATACAATTTTAAAAGAAGCACAAAAGAATAATATTGGGATTATGCTGTATATTCAGCTGTACATTCTTTCTTCCATGTTGTATTGTGAGTATATCTTTCTTTACATCACTTAAAATAACCACCTAGTATTTTGTTTTATGGAATACAATATTATTTTGTTGATGAAGTCAAACATTAGATTGAACCATATATCTGACCTTTTTTTAACCTATAAAAATAGCAATTGCCTGAGCTACTTGGGAGGCTGAGGCAGGAGGATCCCTTCAGCACAGGAGTTCGAGGCTGCAGTGAGCTATATAATTATTCCTTTGTTGTGGGACATTTAGGTCATTTCTAAACTTTCACCAGGTTGTGATAAACATCTTTTAGCTCGTTTTTTAAAAAGTATTTTTTATTGAAGTATAATTTTATCATTTTCTTAGAATTCTCAGAATTAGAATTGGTGGGTCAAAGAACAGATACATTTCTAAGGTATTTAATACTTTGCAAAATGCCTTCCAAGAAGATTGAATCAATTGATTTATTCCCACAAACATTATATGAAAGTGCGCATTTCTTTATATTCTACCTTTCACAGTGGGTATTATAATTTAAAGAGTCTGGGCCTGGGTGTGGCAGCTCATGTCTATAATCCCAGCATTTTGGGAGGCTGAGGCAGGAGGACCACTTGAGCTCTGGAGTTCCAGACCAGCCTGGGCAACATAATGAGACCCTGTCTCTACAAAAAGTTACATTAACCAGGTGTAGGGGCTTGTGCCTCTGGTCCCAGCTACTTGGGAGGCTGAGGTGAGAGAATCGCTTGAGCCAGGAGCTCGAGGATGCAGTTAACTGTGATTGTACCAGTGCTCTCCAGCCTGGGTGACAGAGCAAGAGCCTGTCTCAAAAACAAACAAACACACACACAAAACACAAAAAAAGAGTCTGGGAAAAATAGCAATAATAGTTAACATTTATTGAAGTTTTTTTTGGAGATGGAGTCTCAATGTGTTGCCCAGGCTGGAATGCAGTGGTGCAATCTCAGCTCACTGCAACGTCCGCCTCCCAGGCTCAAGCAATTCCCATGCCTCAGCCTCCCAAGTAGCTGGGATTACAGGTGTGCACCACCACACGTGGCTAATTTTTGTATTTTTAGTAGAGACAGGATTTCTCCATGTTGGACAGGCTGCTCTTAAACTCCTGGCCTCACAAGTGATCCAACTGCCTTGGTCTCCCAAAGTGCTGGGATTACAGGTGTGAGCTACTGCACCTGGCCAATGGATCTTATTCTTATCCCAATTTTTTTTTTTTTTTTTGAGATGGAGTCTCTCTCTGTCGTCCAGGCTGGAGTGCAGTGGTGTGACCTCGATTCACCATAACCTCTGCCTCCTGGGTTCAAGCGATTCTCCTGCCTCAGCCTCCCGAGTAACTGGGACTACAGGCCTGTGCCACCATGCCCGGCTAATTTTTAGTAGAGACGGGGTTTCACTATGTTGGCCAGGCTGGTCTCAAACTCCTGACCTCGTAATCCGCCTGCCTCGGCCTCCCAAAGTTCTGGGATTATAGGTGTGAGCCACTGAGCCTGGCCTCTTATCCCTATTTTATTGATGAAGACATTGAGACACAGAGTTTAAGTAACTTTCTTAAGGCCACACAGCTTGTAAGAGGCAGGATGATGACTCAGACCCAGGCAGTGTGACTCTTGAGTTTGCACTCATTACCTCTACACTATATTGCCTCAGTGTATCATTGTTATAATGGAATTTCTTTGATTATAGTGAGGTTAAACATTTTTCGTATATTTACAGGCTACTTAACAACTGTTTGTCTTTTTCTCATGGCTTTTTTGACTGCTGCCATTCTGGGAAAATTTTAAAGCCCAACATTATAGTTAACTTCCTTCATTGTTTCTAAGGGTGAGGTCATGGAGGCTTGGTTTCTGATAAAATCCTCTCCATATTTAGCTTTAGCCTTGTACCTTCAGAAATGGTTATTGTATTTACTTCAGAGTTTCTGTCACCTGAGTCTGGTTTTTTTTCTTTATGGGAGGAAAAGGGCTTTTTTTTCTTAACATTTTGGGGAAATCACCGTGTTTTATCACTGTACCATGGCTGCACTTTTTTAATGACACCAAATACACGTTAGAGCTCCCCAGGTGTTCTTCCATACCTAGGCAGGGAGTAGGGCTTGGATTTTGCTCAGGCCTTGTGTGATTGGCTCAGACTCACATCCTATGTTTACATTCCTGTGTAGAATTTCCAGGCCTAGTGTAATCTCCCAGCCGGAGCAGAAAGAAGAGCCATGGGTCCTACCACTCCAAAACTTTGAGGCGAGGAAGATCCCGAGGGAAAGCCACACAGGTGAGATGTGAGTGCTCCCCAGTGGAAGGAAATCTAGCATTTCAGCCTTGTTTAGATGAAGAATTTGGAATGCTGCCTTAGAATTTTGTTCTTACTAGCAGACATTTTTTTTTTTTTTTTTTTTTTGAGACGGAGTCTCGCTCTGTCGCCCAGGCCGGACTGCGGACTGCAGTGGCGCAATCTCGGCTCACTGCAAGCTCCGCTTCCCGGGTTCACGCCATTCTCCTGCCTCAGCCTCCCGAGTAGCTGGGACTACAGGCGCCCGCCACCGCGCCCGGCTAATTTTTTGTATTTTTAGTAGAGACGGGGTTTCACCTTGTTAGCCAGGATGGTCTCGATCTCCTGACCTCATGATCCACCCGCCTCGGCCTCCCAAAGTGCTGGGATTACAGGCGTGAGCCACCGCGCCCGGCCACTAGCAGACATTTAAATTTGACTTAATGGTCAGTAGTTGACTAAATAAAGTCTTCATTTTGATTAAGCATTTCACTTTTGTCTAACCTATGTTTTTTTTTGAGATGGAGTCTCCCTCTGTCTCCCAGCCTGGAGTGCAGTGACACAATCTCTGCTCACTGCAACCTCCGCCTCCCGGGTTCAAGTGATTGTCCTGCCTCAGCCTCCCAAGTAGCTGGGACTATAGGCACCCGCCACCACGCCCAGCTAATTTTCATATTTTTAGTAGGGATGGAGTTTCACCACGTTGGCCAGGTTGGTCTCGAACTCCCAACCTCAAGTGATCTGCCTGCCTCGGCCTCCCGAAGTGCTGGGATTATAGGCGTGAGCCACCACGCCTGGCCTAAACCTATAATATCTTCTAAAGAAACCGCACAATATTGACAATATGTGGTCTCCGCTTGAAGGATATCAAGATTCATCTGGCCATCTTAAAATTTAAAAAGTTTAGGAATTCACGTGTTCTGACAGCTCAATGAACCTCAATAAACTTTTCACAAAGTGAAAACAGAGCGGTTGAATTAAGTGCAGTCTGCTGCAGAAACAGGGATTTTAATCTTTGTCACTGCTTTCTGATATTCCTTCCTGATAACTGATAACTTTATTCTCTGTTACTTACATTAATTTTTCAGACTGTGAGCATCAGGTGGCAAAGCTCAATCAGGACAATTCTGAAACAGCAGAACAATGTGGAACATCCTCAGAAAGGACCAATAAAGATCTTTCTCATACTCTTAGTTGGGGAGGAAACTGGGAGCAAGGCCTAGAATTAGAAGGGCAACATGGAACCCTTCCAGGAGAGGGCCAGCTGGAGTCCTTTTCACAGGAGAGGGATTTAAACAAGCTCCTGGATGGATATGTAGGAGAGAAGCCTATGTGTGCAGAATGCGGGAAAAGCTTTAACCAGAGTTCCTATCTCATAAGACACCTAAGAACCCACACTGGCGAGAGGCCCTATACGTGCATTGAGTGTGGGAAAGGCTTCAAACAGAGCTCAGACCTTGTCACCCATCGCAGAACACACACAGGAGAGAAGCCCTACCAATGCAAGGGGTGTGAGAAGAAATTCAGCGACAGCTCAACACTCATCAAACATCAGAGAACCCACACAGGGGAGAGACCCTATGAGTGCCCAGAGTGTGGAAAGACTTTTGGGCGGAAGCCACACCTCATAATGCACCAAAGAACCCACACAGGCGAGAAGCCCTACGCGTGCCTGGAATGTCACAAAAGCTTCAGTCGAAGCTCAAATTTCATCACTCACCAGAGGACCCACACAGGGGTGAAGCCTTACAGGTGTAATGACTGTGGGGAGAGTTTTAGCCAGAGCTCGGATTTGATTAAGCACCAACGAACCCACACGGGAGAACGGCCCTTCAAATGCCCGGAGTGCGGGAAGGGCTTCAGAGATAGTTCTCATTTTGTAGCTCACATGAGCACTCATTCAGGAGAGAGGCCTTTCAGTTGTCCTGACTGCCACAAAAGCTTCAGTCAGAGCTCACATTTGGTCACGCACCAAAGAACACACACAGGTGAGAGACCTTTTAAGTGCGAAAACTGTGGGAAAGGATTCGCCGACAGCTCCGCCCTCATTAAGCACCAACGAATCCACACCGGAGAAAGACCCTACAAATGTGGAGAGTGTGGGAAGAGCTTCAATCAGAGCTCCCACTTTATTACCCATCAGCGAATCCACTTAGGAGACAGGCCCTATCGATGTCCTGAGTGTGGCAAGACCTTCAATCAGCGTTCCCATTTCCTCACACACCAGAGAACGCATACAGGAGAAAAACCTTTCCACTGTAGTAAATGTAACAAGAGCTTCCGTCAGAAAGCGCATCTTTTATGCCATCAAAACACCCATTTGATTTAGGAAGTAGTCTTTGGTGTTCAGCTGCTCCCTTGCACATTTTCATTGCTACTGTCTTCAAGCACCCCAAATAGAGAAAACCTGGGCGTCAGTGGCTCAATTTGGGCCCTGATCTATTCTCCCTCTTTCTTGTCTATGTTATAACAGAGAGGATAAACTTAAAGGGTCCAAATAACGGTCCGAATACAAAAGGCATTCCTTCAGTGTGTGACTGACTCTTAGGGAAATGTGAGTTTAATAGTTGATGCCCGCCAGGCGTGGTGGCTCACCCCTGTAATCCCAGCACTTTTGGGAGGCCAAGGTGGGTGGATCACTTGAGGTCAGGAGTTGAGACCAGCCTGGTGAGCATGGTGAAACCTCATCTCTACTAAAAATGCAAAAATTAGCTGGGCATGGTGGCACGTGCCTGTAGTCCCAGCTACTCGGGAGGCCGAGGCAGAAGAATCATTTGAACTCAGAAGGTGCAGGTTGCAGTGAGTTGAGATCATGCCACTGCACTCCAGCCTGGGCAACAGAGAGAGACTCTGTCTCCAAAAAAATTAAAAAGTTGATGCCTAGTTACTAAATGAGAAGTGAGAAAAATGTGGCCTAGAGATCACATGTTCACCACCTAGTACAGTGCCTGGCACAACATAGATGCTCAATAACTAAATGGTCCCATCATTATTAATGATTAATAGTTGAGGTCTTATATAAAGGCTTTAATGCAGTACCTGGCCCTTAAAAGACACTCAGTACAAGATTGGTGGCTTTTATCAGTCTTATTACTCAATTAGAAATTTATTAGTGTAGTCCCCCCGCCCCAAACTCAGAACGTGAAAGAAATTAGATTGGAACTAGAAGGTTTGGGGTTGGAATACACAAATTGAATAAAATGGAAATGCACTGCCAGTTCAGTGCTGTGCAGGCATTAGTCACCAGAGGTCTCACTGCCATGACAAGGCCAAATTATCGTAGAGGATGTTTGCGGTCTTGTGACTTGGAGGCTGAAAGAATTTCAGAAGCTCTTTTAAATGGCAGTGTATGGCAGTGTATCTACCAGAGGTTTGCTGTCATCTGACACAGAGAAAATATCCTACAATGAACAAGCCAGAGGGACCTGGTAGAGGACTATAAAATTGTGGAAGCAAAATTGCTGAGAATGTCAAATGATATTACAGGGATCCTCCCTGGCATTTAGCTGAAGGAAGCAACTCTTGTTTTCTAATTTGCTGGGTCATTGGCCATTTAGTTTTAGGTTAATATAATTCTCTGATCCTTTTAGGGCCATCCAGGTTATGCACTAGTACATTCCTACATTCAATTGAAATAAATTGAGGGACGGCAAGTGTGTTGGAAAGAACACCGACTTCATTGAGAAGGTAAAGTATTTGAGTCCTGGCCCTGACGCTTAATTTGGCCAGACTTTCATCTTCTCCCAGCCTCAAGTTTTACCTACCTCACAAGGTTGTTGTGAGGATCTAAAAATACACACACACACACACACACACACACACACACACACACTTTGTTGGTTAACTATAAATGTAATATCTCTATGTTATAATTCTGTTGCTAATGTCTTTTTTCCAAGAAAATTTTGGCTAATATTTCTTTAGGTATTCCTTTTTCTCTCATAGTGAGGGATTAAAAAAAAAAAAAACTGTTGAAAAATTAGGGCGTAAAAATGCTAAATGACATGACTCATCATGGGCCACGTAGTTAACAGAAGAGCCAGATTTGGCTGCAAGTCACTAGATTTCCAGCCTGCAGTCCTCCTCTGCAACAACAGACCAGCTCTGGGATTTGTTACAGTGCCTGTGAGACATTACAGGACTGGAGGACCCATATTATATCCATTAAACCAGTCTGAATTTGGAAATGATGGAGGGTGTAGTCTAAGTTGTAGGGAGCTTTGCAAGAACCTGTGCTGGGGTCCTTGATCCTGGTGGAATGGGGGTGGAGGAGTGAGCGCAAATGCAAGGGGTTAAGGAGGGAGCTGGGTAGTTATCACTTTTTAGAGTGCAAAGTGGTGGATTAAAGGTTTCTTTTCTTTCATTCTCTTCCATTATATGGAATGCCATCTGAGTGCTGTGGCTCATGAAGGATAGAACTCAGCTGATAACCTTACCTCAGTTTTTGAAAGCATCATTAGATAATTGACCAGAAAATTTTTTTTAGTTAATCCAGTGCAGTGGTTCTCAAACTGTGAGCCCAGTCCAGTAGCATCAGCATTATCTGGGAACTTTTTAGAAATGCAGATTCAGGCCGGGTGCAGTGGCTCACACCTGTAATCCCAGCACTCTAGGAGGCCGAGGCGGGTGGACCACCTGAGGTCAGGAGTTTGAGACCAGCCTGGCCAACATGGCAAAACCCCACCTATACTAAAAATACAAAAATTATCCAGGTGTGGTGGCATGTGCCTGTAATCCCACCAATTTGGGAGGCTGAGGCAGGAGAATCACTTGAACCCAGGAAATGGAGGCTGCAGTGAGCTGAGATCACACCTAGTCTCGAACTCCTCACCTCAGGTGATCTGCCTGCCTCAGCCTCCCAAAGTGCTGGGATTACAGGTGTGAGCCACCGTGCCTGGCCACCTATCATTTTGTTTGTTTTTCATGTTGTTCAGCTATTGTAAGATGTGAGGGTTTTTTTGTTTTTTGTTTTTTTTAGGTGAAGTCTTGCTCTGTTGCCCATGCTGGAGTGCAATGGCATGATCTTGGCTCACTGCAACCTCTGCCTCCCAGGTTCAAGCGATTCTCCTGCCTCAGCCTCCGGAGTAGCTGGGATTACAGATGCATGTCACCATGCCCAGCTAATTTTATATGTTAAGTAGAGACGGGGTTTCACCATGTTGGCCAGGCGGGTCTTGACCTCCTGACCTCAGGTGATCCACCTGCCTTGGCCTCCCAAAGTGCTGGGATTACAGGCGAGAGCCACCTCACCTGGCCACCTATCACTTTGATTTTCATGTTGTTTGGCTATGGTAAAATGTGAGCTCTCGAAGGGCAATGTGAGATTTGCTTTGTGGCCCTGCCAATCCCCTCCCTCCTCCCTGTCTTCCTGCCCACCCCCCCCCACTCCCCCGCCAGCCATGAGCAGGGAATATTTCAATGCTATTGCTGAGAGTGGAGGTAACCCTTTCTATAGTTTTCTTTTGTTTCTACCTCATGACTAGATGATTCACTGCTTGAACATGCTCCACACATCCGTTCTTTCTCACTCCAAAATTGAGGTCATCACCAAGCCCCATTAATTTTACCTCCCAGATTCCTCTCGAACCTATCTGTCAAATCTGTCCATCTTCACTGCCACCCTTCAGTACCAAATGACCAGTCTCTTACCTGAATTCCTGTAGCAGCCTCCAAACTGATCTTCCTGATATGATTTTTGCTCTGAAAAAACTGGTTTCACTCACAGAAACCAGAGTGAACTTTTAAAATCCTAAATCGAATCACATCACTTCTCAGCAGCTTTCCATTGCTTTTAGAATGAAGACCCAAATCCTTACCCAGGCCTAAGAGGCCCTTGTGGTTTTGTCCCCTCCCCCTCCATCCTCTTGTGATATCCCCTTCCCTCTCCCTTGCCTCACCTCAGCACTCTTGAGTTCTCTGCTCCTTGGTCATGCCAAGGTTGTGTGCTCTTTAGACCCTTGGTACTAACTGTTCCCTCTGCCCAGAATGTTCCTCGCCCAGTCCTTTGTGTTGCCTCCTATTTGTCAACCAGGTTTCAGCCTAAACCTATCTCCTTAGGAAGACTTTCCCTAACTATCCCATCTAAATTAGTCACCCTCCATCACATTATCCTCTTTTTTCATCAAAGTCCTTACACCTGTCTGGCAATTTCTTATTAATTGATTTGTTTTTGGTAAACTCCACGAAAGGTGGGAGTCATTTCTCTTGTTTCCATTCTTTCCACAGCACTTAGAACAGTGCCTGGCACATGGTAGGTGCTCAATATGTGTTTACTGGATGAATTAATGAGTGCATGCTCATGGGCAAGGATCTCATTGTGCTGGAAAAGCAGCAGAGTGAGACAAAACTGGACAGGTGAGTGAAGGTCACACCAAGAAGGTTCTTAGCTGCCAAACTAAAGGGTTTGGATCTTACTCTCTGGAGAAAAGGGTGTAGCTAGTGGTTTTATAGGAGAGGAGAGGCGCGATCCGCACTTGAGAAGGTCAATTTGGCCGCTGTGTGTAGGTCATATTACGGAGAAAAAAACTAAAGGCTTTGAGACAATCCATGATGTAAAGGGCTTAGCACAGTGCCCAGCACGCAGTAGGTCTCCAGCGAGTCGTTATCACCAAGCACCAGGGCAGGCACCACAACAAAAAGATAAGATCCCTAACCCTTCTTTTACCTCGAAATAATTCCTCCTAGACCCTATCATCGCATTCCTTCTCTTCCCCTTTTGTCAAACTTCCACTCACATGTAGATATTCTCAGGGTTATCATGCCTAGGCCTTTTTAATAGGGCCACTTACCCTAGCATGCTTCTACAACTGGACCCTCAAAGGTCTTTTAGGGCTGAGTGTGGTGGCTCACACCTGTAATGCCAGCATTTTGGGAGGCCGAAGCCAGAGGACTGCTTGAGCCCAGAGGTTCAAGACCAGCCTGGGCACCATAGCCAGACCCTGTCTCTACAAAAAATAGTTTCAACAAATTAGCCAGGCATGGTGATGTGCGCCTGTCATCCCAAGTACTTGGGAGGCTGAGGTGGGAGGATTGCGGATTGCCTGAGCCCAGGAGTTCAAGGCTGCAGTGAGCTGTGATCATACCACCGTACTCCAGATTGCGTGACAGAGCTAGAACTTGTCTCTTAAAAAAAAAAAAAGACTTAATTTCCACATCTGAAGGCCTCTTGTTAGTCTTCTTCTGATTCAACAACTCTTTACTGTTTGATGCCATTTACATATGTTTATTATTTTTTAGAGATGGGGTCTCATTCTTTTGCTGAGGCTGGAGAGCAGTGGTGCGATCATGGCTCACTGCAGCCTCAACCTCCCAGACTCAAGCAATCCTCCTGTCTCAGCCTCCTGAGTAACAGCTAGGACTACAGGCACATGCCACCAAGCCCGGCCTTTTAAAATTTTTGGTAGAGGCCAGGTGTGGTGGCTCATGCTTGTAATCCCAGCACTTTGGGAGGTCCAGGCGAGTGGATCACCTGAGGTCAGGAGTTTGAGACCAGCATGGCTAATATGGTGAAACCCCGTCTCTAGTAAAAGTACAAAAATTAGCCAGGCGTGGTCGTGGGCGCCTGTGATCCCAGCTACTCGGGAGGCTGAGGCAGGAGAATCACTTGAACCTGGGAGGCGGAGGTTGCAGTGAGCTGAGATCGTGTCATTGCACTCCAGCCCAGGTGACAAGAGCGAAACTCCATCTCCAATAATAATAATAATAATAATAATAATAACTTTGCTAGAGACAGGGTTCCCCTATGTTGCCCAGGCTGGTCTTGAACTCCTGACCTCAAGCAACTCTCCCACCTTGGCCTCCCAAAGCGCTGGGATTACAGGTGTGAGCTACTGCACCAGGCCCATATGCCTTTTTAAAAAAATTATCTTTTCCATTGGTGACTATGAGGTTGAGAGATGATTCTCCTACATTTCTGGCTGCTCCTCTTCAAGTACCTTCCCTGGCTCCTCTGGATTTTTTTGTTTTGTTTTGTTTTGTTTTGTTTTGTTTTTGAGACAAAGTCTTGCTTTGTTGCCCAGGCTGGAGTGCAGTGGCAGGATCTTGGCTCACCAGCTCACTGCAACCTCCACCTCCCAGGTTCAAGGGATTCTGGTGCCTCAGCCTCCAGAGTAGCTGGGACTACAGGCCCAGCTAATTTTTGTACTTTTGGTAGAGATGGGGGTTTCACCAGGCTGGTCTTGAACTCCTGCCTCAGGTGATCTGCCCACCTCGGCCTCCCAAAGTGCTGGGATTCTAGGCATGAGCCACCGCGCCTGGCCTGGCTCCTCTTCTTCTTCCACTCAGATATGCCTGACCCTGTCAACACTTTGGTTGAGGTCTTCTTTCTTCTTTCTTTTTTGCTCCGCACATTTAGCTTATGACTTCAACCATCATTTCTCAGAGCATGGGTCTGGCTCAACCTCTCTCCTGAATTTCAGACCTACAAGTCTAGCTACTTGGTGGAGACCTCCCCAGAATGACCTGCTGCTTCCCAAAAGCAGACTCTCCAAATTACAGTCAGTATCTCCCCCGGAAGCATTCCCCCAGGCATTTCTCTTTCTGCCTTCAATTCCCCATTCTCCTACATTGCCTTGCCAGAAGCCTGCTGGTCAGCTTGGATTTCTTTTTGTCCTTTTTTTTCTATATTTTGCTGGTGCCTAGTCATGTAGTTGCTGCCTCTACACTTTCTCTTCTTTAAAAAAAATTATTAAAGCACCACGTGCTTGTTGTAAACATTTCCAGAAAATACAGAAGTGCTCAAAGTGAAAAAATGGAAATGCCTTGTCCCTTCCTCATTCCCTGCCCTAACCTCACGCCCCAGATTCAGCTATGTAATAGTCTGTCATGCCAAGTCTTATTTCCAGCTCCTCTTTTCCATCCCCACTGCCATCATCTGAACTAAACGGATTGTTTTCCATCTGGTCTCCTTGGCTTTTCCTTTCAGTGCAGCTCAACAGACATTAATCAAGTGCCTTCCACACACCAAAGTCCTACCCTAGATCCTAGAGGTTCAGAGACAAGTAAGATAGTTAAAGAGATCCACATTCCAGAGCTGTTTAACTTTGGGCAAGTTACTTAATCTCTCTGACCCTTACTTCCTTATCTGTAAAATGATGCTAATCCCAGCACCTTTTTCATGGGTTTGGACGAGCATTAATGAGATGATCCATGTAAAACTCTTTGTACTAACTACCTGGTACACTGTATCTGCTCCATAAATGTCAGTGACAACAATGATAATAATGACAATGTTTGGAGGAGTTTATAGCTTAATGGAGAGACTTAAAGCATAAGAATTATCTAGGCGAAGAATGATGAGAAAATATTTTTGGAAAAGGAAAACAAACAGTTCTACTAAAATTAAAAGGCTGATGTAGAGACTTGGGAAACTGGGAGGTAAGAGCTCGGACTGTGTCCTCTAAGACAGTAATTCCCGAAGTGTGAGCAAAAGTCCACCTGCATCAGTCTTACTTGGGGTGATTGCTCAAAATGAGGATTTAATGGCTGCACCTCCGAGCAAGTTGGTAATTTACATATCGGAATGCTATCCATCAAGGAAAATGGGCAGACTACAGTTACATGCATCAACACAGACAAGCTTCAAACAATATTGAGTGTAAAAAGCAAGACATAGAAATATATATTTAGTAAGAGTAAAAATACAGTAAAGGTAAAAAAGAGGCAAAACTAAACAATATATTGCTTAAGCAATAAGGATACACAAACTAATGAAAATCAAAGGATTTACTAATACAAACTTCAGTATAGTAATTAATTGGAATGGGAGAGAAAGATGCAAAGTTTCTATTTCTTTTTTTGTTTTGTTTTGAGACAGTGTCTCATTCTGTTGCCAAGGCAGGAGTGCAGTGGCAGGATCTCAGATCACTGCAAGCTCAGCCTCCTGGGTTCAAGTGGTTCTTCTGCCTCAGCCTCCCAAGTAGCTGGGATTACAAGCATGCACCACCACACCCAGCTAATTTTTGTAATTTTAGTAGAGATGGAGTTTCACCATGTTGGCCAGGCTGGTCTCGAACTCCTGGTCTTAAGTAATCCGCCCACCTCTGCCATCAAAGTTTCTGTTTCTTAAGTTGGCTGCCGAGTACACAGGTTTTCTTTGTAAAATAATTATTTAAATTGTTAATATGCATTACTTATATGCTTTTCATTTACAATGTATTTCACAAGAAAAATAAAACAAAGCAAATAAGAAAACAGAACACTTCTCCAGAGATTGATCTTTTTCACTCAAATCTCATTGAGTTATACTGAGGGGGAAAAAGAGTAATCTGAGTGCCTGGGCCCTGAACAGACACACTAGATCAGTTCCTTCATTCCCACTCAAACACATGCACACACACGCACAAACACACATTTTCTTATATTTCCTTCAGCAAACCCCCCGCCCCACCAACCAACCCCAAAACACCCTCTGCTCCTTTATGTATATAAATTAGAGCAGATAAATGTCCAGAAGATTATAGGCCATCTTTCTATAAACAGCCAATCTTGGACCTGGTGTCTGAATGGGGGATGCCCTGCTGCATTAAAGATGCTCATGTGAACATTTTGTTGTTTCCCAGAAAAAAAGTTTCCACATTTTAGATTATTTTCACAGGGTGAGAACAATTTTACACCTCCCTTACTTGCTGCAGAATCTTTTTTTTTTTTTTTTTTTTTTTTTTGAGACAGGTCTTGCTCTATCACTCAAGCTGGAGTGCAGTGGCACGATCTCGGCTCACTGCAACCTCCGCCTCCCAGGTTCAAGCAATTCTTCTGCCTCAGCCTCTCGAGTAGCTGGGATTACAGGTGCGCACCACCATGCCCAGCTAATTTTTTGTATTTTTAGTAGAGATGGGGTTTCACCATGATGGCCAAGCTGGTTTCAAACTCCTGACCACAAGTGATCCGCCCACTTCGGCCTCCCAAAGGGCTAGGATTACAGGTGTGAGCCACCACGCCTGGCTGCTGTGGAATCATTTTTAAAGTGATTGTATCAATTTACAGTGTTCCGAACAGTAAATGGCTACTAGTCTCATCACACCCTCATCTTTAAAAAAGTTTTGCTAATTTAATAGACATGATTCTTACATATTGTCTTAATTTGCATTTCTTTGCTTACCAGTGAGGTTGAACATTTTTTTCTATGTTAGAATCTTTCTTGTATTTCTTCTGTTGTTTTCATTAGAGTAACTCAGAGCAGGATTGGGAATCTGAAAACATGAACATTTGATTTTGAGGAAGTCATTGTTTTCCTGTTGTCTTCCTTCCCCCTCTCTGCTTTATTATTTTTTACTTCAGGTTCATTTATAGAAATATCAGAAAATACAATTAAGCAAACAGAGTAAATTCCACTTCCCAGAGATAACCACTACCGTTTGTTGTATATCCTTTTAAGCTTTTTCTCTGCCAAAAATATTCACAAATATATCGCTTATTCTTTCTGAGCCTGTTTCCTCATCTATCAAATGGAATACTTGTTCTTCAAGTTGATAATTAACTGGTGGGAGCACATGAAAGTATTTTATAAAGTGCACAAATGCAAGTTGCTGCTCTTATGACAAAGAAAAAATGTATTTTATTCTGCCAAGCAGAATGATGACACTTTGTTTCCTGAACACAGCCTGCTCTCTCCAGTACAATTTCTTCTCTCTAGAATAGCTTCTTGCTTCAATTCCTCCTGCTGAACTACTATCTACTCTTTTTTTAAAAAAATCAATATTAAAATATACAAAAATTAGTGTAAAGAGCAACCACGTACCCACTATACAGCTTAGGAAAAGAGTCTGGCATTTCTCACTCCTATGCCTTTATATATACTTGCTTTATTTCCTGTCTCTCTATATATACATACATATATATTTAGTAAGAGCAAAAATACAGTAAAGATCAGGGAAGGTGCGGTGGCTCACGCCTGTAATCCCAGCACTTTGGGAGGCCGAGGCGGGCAGATCACGAGGTCAGGAGTTTGAGATCAGCTTGACCAACATGGTGAAACCATGTCTCTACTAAAAATACAAAAATTAGCCAGGCGTGGTGGCTCATGCGTGTAGTCCCAGCTATTCAGGAGGCTGAAGCAGAAAAATCCCCTGAACCTGGGAGGTGGAGGTTGCCGTGAGCCAAGATTGTGCCACTCACTCCAGCCTGGGCGACAGAGTGAGACTCCATCTCGGGGAAAAAAAAAAATACAGTAAAGGTAAAAAACAGGCAAAACTAAATATATTGCTTAAGCAATAATGATACTCATACAAACTAATGAAAATCAAAGGATTTACTAATACAAATTTATAGTAGTTAATTGGAAGCATATGTATTATATAAATATACATGTATTATACATATATGTATATATGTATATATATAGAAAAAAGCAAATATATGTATATATACATATATATCTATATATGTAAAATTTTTATTTATAAAATGTTTTTGAGCATGAAATGATATATCATTGTGGTGTTAATATGCGTCTTAGCTGGGCATAGTAGGTCACACCTGTAATCCCAACATTTTGGGAGGCTGAGGCAGGAGGATTTCTTGAGCTCAGGAGTTCAAGACCAGCCTGGACAGCATAGTGAGACCCCATCTCTAAAAAAAAAAATAAAAATTATCTGGCGTGGTGGCTGATGTCTGTAGTTCCAGCTACTCAGGAGGCTGAGGTGGGAGGATCACCTGAGCACTGGAGGTCAAGGCTGCAGTGAGCTATGATCATGCCACTGCACTCCAGCCTGGATGACAGAGCCAGATCCTGTTTCAAATAAATAAATTAAATTAAGTTAAAAAGTATCTCCCTGATTAGTGGGGAAGTTACCCAACTTTTTTTTTTTTTTTTTAGACAGAGTCTCAGTCTGTCTCCCAGGCTGGCATGCAGTGGCACGATCTTGTCTCACCGCAACCTCCACCTCCTGGGTTCAAGCAATTCTCCTGCCTCAGTCTCCCGAGTAGCTAGGATTACAGGCATGTGCCACCATACCCGGCTAATTTTTTGTATTTAGTCGAGATGGGGTTTCGCCATGTTGGGCAGACTGGTCTCGAACTCCCGACCTCAGGTGATCCTCCCACCTGGGCCTCCCAAAGTACTGGGATTACAGGCGTGTGCCACCGTGCCCAGCAGTTACACAACTTTTACAAGTTTATTGTTGTTCATGTTGCCTCTTCAGGGAATTTTGTTTATAAAGTACCTATTCTTCAAGGCCCCATTAAAACACCTCCCTCTCCATAAAGTATTTCCAGATCTCCTCTATCAAGCAGATAGGATTTCCTTTGGACTTCTATAATCCTTTCTTTCTACATCTTGGGTTTCACTCACTTCTTATTTCATCTTGCATTACAGTCACTTGTGTACTTGTCTAAAGGGCAGTGACTATGTTTAACTCAACTTTATGCCCTTGTTCATACTAGTACAAAAGTAAACATTTCATAAATCTTTGTTGAATCAAATCCTACTCCTCCCCTGCTTATAAAATCTTAAATCATTTCCTATTGTCTACAGACGAAAGTAGAATCTCGTTTAATGTAGAATTTAAGACCCTTCCACGGGCTCTAGCATCAACCTTCCTTTCTTGCTCTTCTCCTGGGAGGACCTTGCTTTCCGCCCCAGATACTAGATTCTTCATCCACAGTAAGGTCCCAGTCCACTAATGTTTGGCTTTTCTCTCTGTAGCTGGGATGGCAGGTTGGTCCCACCCATTTTAGTTGCCTATAAAATTCTTTTTTTTTTTTTTTTGAGATGGAGTCTTGCTCTGTTGCCCAGGCTGGTATGCAGTGGCATGATCTTGGCTCACTGCAACCTCCGCCTCCTGTATTCAGGCAATTCTCCTGCCTCAGCCTCCCGAGTAGCTGGGATTATAGGCAACTGCCACCATGCCCGGCTAATTTTTGTATTTTTAGAAGAGACGGGGTTTCACCATGTTGGCCAGGCTGGTCTCGAACTCCTGACCTCAGATGATCCGCCCTCCTCGGCCTCCCAAAGTGCTGGGATTACAGGCGTGAGCCACCGCGCCCGGTCTGAGCCACCGCGCCCGGTCTGAGCCACCACACCCGGTCTAATTTTTGTATTTTTAGTAGAGGTGGGGTTTCACCATTTTGGCCAGGCTGGTTTTGAACTCCTGACCTCGTGATCTGCCCGCCTCGGCCTCCCAAAGTGCTGGGATTACAGGCTTGAGCCACTGCGTCCAGCCCAAACTCTTTAAGAGAAAATCTCTTGGGATCTTGAAGCCAGAAGCTTGCTTTTATTACTGAGTTTGCCCTGAATCTGTCACTTATGTACTAAAAATACATAAATTTCCTTATCCAGGTGACTTGGGCTCAACTGAAGGAAACCTGAAGCATCTAAATGTTAGCACCTAAGCCTGAGTCTAGGTGCCAGCATAGCCTGTCTTCCCTCTCCAGAGTCAGAGGCATGTTACAAACAGAATATATGGACACACGTCGAACCCCACATTGTATCTCTCTAATTTATTCAATTTAATTCAGTAAACACTCATTACCTCTTATATCCAGGCCTAGTTGAGGGTGCTGGGGATACAGGTATAAACATGACAGTTCTCTTGAGGAGCACAGAGTGGTTGTGGGAAACAGACATACAGACACACAGTTTCTTTCTTTCTTTTTTCTTTTTTTTTTTTTTTTTGAGACAGAGTCTCACTCTGTCCTTCAGGCCGGAATGCAGTGAGGTGATCTCAGCTCACCACAACCTCCACCTCCTGGGTTCAAGCGATTCTCCTGCCTCTGACTCCCCAGTAGCTGGGATTACAGTAATGCGCCACCACACCCACCTAATTTTTGTATTTTTAGTAGAGACAGGCTTTTGCCATGTTGGCCAGGCTGGTCTCAAACTCCTGAACTCAGGTGATCCGCCTGCCTCGGCCTCCCAAAGTGCTGGGATTACAGGTGTGAGCCACCATGCCCGGCCCAGACACATAGTTTCAATACAAGAAGTATATGTCAGCCAGAGAAGGGCTATCTTGAGAGTCAAGGAAGGCTCCCTGGAGGAGGTATCACTTATGCCAGTTGGTACATGAATGAGTAAATGCAAACAAGCCATGATACTGAAATAAAGCTTTGTTTAATTAACCTTCACATGTAAATTCAGCCACAGAAGACATTCTGATACATGGGGGCATTGCCAGTGATTCCACGAAACTGGATAATGTCATTGATGCTTGTGGTTGAGAGAGCTTGTTTCTGTATTGTAAGGAAGGTGGTACAACCTGGCCTTTCTTTTAAAAAAAAAAAAAAATTCAAACTGGACATGTGTCAATGAACTGACTGGAGTCTTAGGGAGGAACATTGCTCCATAGCTATATGTCTCTCCCGTTTTTTCCTGTGTTAGTCTTTTTTTTTAATTTTTTTAAAATTTTTTTGAGACAGAGTCTTGCTCTGTTGCCCAGGCTGGAGTGCAGTGGTGTGATCTTGGCTCGCTGCAAGCTCCGCCTCCCGGGTTCAAGCAATTCTCCTGCCTCAGCTTCCCAAATAGCTGGGACTACAGATGCATGCCACCATGCCTGGCTAATTTTTGTATTTTTAGTAGAGACAGAATTTCACCATGTTGGCTACACTGGTTTGGACCTCCTGACCTGAGGGGTTCCACCTGCCTCGGCCTCTCAAAGTGCTGAGATTACAGGAGTGAGCCACCTTGTCTAGCTCTTTTTTTTTTTTTCTTTTGAGACAAGTTCTTGCTCTGTCTCCCAGGCTGGAACGCAGTGGTGCAATCACAGCTCCCTGCAGCCTCGACCTCCCCAGCTCAAGTGATCTTCCCACCTCAGCCTCCCCAGTAGCTGGGGCCACAGGCATGCACCACTACGCCCAGCTAATTTTTTTTATTTTTTGTAGAGATGGTGTCTCACCATGTTGCACAGGCTGGTATCCAACTGCTGGGCTCAAGCAATCTTCCTGCCATGGCCTCCCAAAGTGCTAGGATTACAGGCGTGAGCCACTGTGCCCACGTGTTAGTCTTTACATAACTGAATAGTGACTGAAGTCTTGCAGTTTCTACCTTGCCCTGCACTGGCATTATAAGTTGTAGTAGAAATGTCACTCATTGCTTGTAATCTCATGAGAGGCCTAGTTAGATTTTTCTGTACTCTACTTCCAGAGGAGCTTATAGGAAGGTGACTTTCCATAAAGGATGTGAGCTTTCTACCACCCAAATATCAGTCGTAAAGAAAATGAGGAGTGATAAAGAAAGAAGGTATTGAGAGGTGAAGCCAGCTGGGCTTCTAGGTTGGGTGGGGACTTGGAAAACTTTTCTGTCTAGCTAGAGGATTAAAAACGCACCAATCAGCACTCTTTGTCTAGCTAAAGTATTGTAAATGCACCAATCAGCACACTGTAAAAACGCACCAATCAGCACTCTGTGTCTAGCTAAAGGACTGTAAACGCACCAGTCAGCACTCTGTAAAATGGACTAATCAGCAGGATGTGGGTGGGGCCAAATAAGGCAATAAAAGCTGGCCAGCGAAGCCAGCAGCAGGCAACCCACTCGGGTGCCCTTCCATGCTGTGGAAGCTTTGTTCTTTCGCTCTTCACAGTAAATCTTGCTGCTGCTCACTCTGGGTCCGCACTACCTTCATGAGCTGTAACACTCAATGCGAGGGTCTGCGGCTGCATTCCTGAAGTCAGCAAGACCACAAACCCACCGGGAGGAACAAACAACTCCAGATGAGCCACCTTTAAGAGCTGTAACACTCACTGCGAAGGTGTGCGGCTTCACTCCTGAAGTCAGTGAGACCACGAACCCACTGGAAGGAAGAAACTCCGGACACATCTGAACATCTGAAGGAACAAACTCCGGACACACCATCTTTAAGAGCTGTAACGCTCACCGTGAAGGTCCGTGGTTTCATTCTTGAAGTCAGCGAGACCAAGCATCCACCAAAAGGAATAAATTCCAGACGCAGTATTTACAGCCCAGTGTCCACCCATTCCCCATGTAGCAACCCCTGGTACCTGAGGAAAAAGGTCACAGCCTCTGCCAATGGTGGGGCATCTTTCCGAAGAGGTTCCACTTGGACTTTTTGAAACATCATGTGGCTGTGCTGTTTGAGAAGCCTGGGGTGAAATTAACTATACAAGAATCAGGGCATGATCACACACGCACACACCTTTGCAATTTTTCTGGCTTTGTTTACACTGTTACTGCAACTTGTGCCCTTTCTCACCCTTTTCATAGGTCTTCCCTGCAAAGTCTTTTTTTTTTTTTTTTTTTGAGACGGAGTCTCGCTCTGTCGTTCAGGCTGGAGTGCAGTGGCGTGATCTCGGCTCACTGCAACCTCCGCCTCCTGGGTTCACGCCATTCTCCCGCCTCAGCCTCCCGAGTAGCTGGGACTACAGGCACCTGCTACCTGGCGCAGCTAATTTGTGTATTTTTAATAGAGACGGGTTTCACCGTGTTAACGAGGATGGTCTCCATCTCTTGACCTCATGATCTGCCCGCCTCAGCCTCCCAAAGTGTTAGGATTACAGGCCTGAGCCACCGCACCCGACCCATCAACTGTTCTCTTATCTGTGCTCCTAGATCTCTATCTTGATGTCTGAAAGCTTCTTGAGAGTGCTTTGTCAGGTCTATGTCCATCACATTCTTTGGTGGATGTGGCCTCACAAATCTTTCAACTCAGCCCTCTAGGTCCTCATGTGCATTAGTGGAGAATAGCGTTCACATATGTGGGCTTTGGGTCCAATGCAGTTTGAATACTGAGTATGTCACTAACTAGTTGTGTAATTTTTGGAACATTGTTAACCTTTCTGATTTCAGTTTCCTTATCCTTAAATTGAAAATTCTAGTAGTTCCTACCTCATAGGATTGTTGTGAAGGTCAAATGAGATCAAATACTTACAACTGGACCTAAGGGGCACTCATTATGAGTTAGCTGTTGTTACTAGTAACCCATTGTCATCCCTGTAGATGTTTCAGGGGTTTGCCGTGGGGAACCCTGCCATGCAGGCTTGTCTCAGGTTCTGACCCTGTGATGGGGTCTGGTGTTCCCTGCCTCGTTTACCGCTCTTTCCCCATACTTTGGTCTGACTCTCCAATGAGCTCATGATTCCTATGAGCGATTTCTGTCTCTTGATGAATCTTTAGATTTGTCCTTTGTCTTAGGCCTTGAGACTGCAGTAGAACCTTGTGGCCTATTCTAACCCCAGCCCGGAAACCAATGCCCCAACTCCATTCTGGGCTGACTTCCTGGCTTCCTCCCACAACTTCCGGGTCTCTGTTTTTATATATTGTTCCTAGACTAGGATATGGGTGTTCACAAATGTTTGTTGAAAGGTTTTCAGAGGCAATTAGGCATATTTAAGAAGTGAATGAACACCTGCTCATTGATATGCTGTCCATAAACTAGGACACGGTGTTGAATGATGATTTGACAGAGATTTTAGAATCAGAGAGATGGAAGCTTGATCCTAACTCTGAATCTTATGGCCTTAAGCAAAATATCTAACCTCTTTGTGCCTGTTTTCTCATTTGTAAAATGAGGATAATTATATTTCCTCATAGGGTTATTGTGAAGATTAAATGAGACAATATAAATAAAGCACCTAGCATTTTCTGGAACATGGTAAGCAGTTGGTAAATAGCTGCAACTACCAACAGGTAGTTCAAAACTTTTCCTCCATCTGAAAAACCAAGAGTTGAAGAAATGGCTGAAGTTGGAATATCTGGCAGGAGCTGTGCTTAAACACAAGATCCGGAATATCTGAATATCTTTAGGACAAGATGAAATAGGTTTCTCTCAAATGAGTTGGTTAAGGAGTTAAGCAGTGATAGGTAACACTTGAAGTTTCACAAAGATGAAAACTGGTACTTGACAGACAGCCACTTGATGGTATTCTGAAGTTTACTGACCCTTTGTTCTATTTCTAGAACAAGGTGTTCTATCTCTTTGCCCAAGGTGTTCAAAGTATAGAGAAACAAAGAAGATCAGTAATTACATAGACCAAATGGAGTATCGGATTTATTACGAACTACATCTGCTCAAAAGACTCATGAACTATATGGAGTTAGTCCTATCAGAGAGAAGCAGGGTATCCAGCTAGCTCATAGGCCTTTTTATACAAAAGTTTACCATTAGCATGTTTGGTAACATTACTTATAAGCCACCCCAACCCCCTCCCCACACACTCAAGTTTCCTTAAGTGTATGTATTAGTTTTCTATTGAAGTACAGGCAAGCTTGACTGGGTTCTTTGCTCAGAGTCTTACAAGGTCAAGATTAAAATATCCACTAGATTAAGGACTTATCTTGAGACTGTGAGGAGAATCTGCTTCCAAGCTCATTTAGGCTATAGGTAGAATCAAGTTCCTTGCAGTTATAGGTCTGAGGTCCCTGTTTCCTTGCTGACTATCAGTCAGGGGCCACTCTTAGCTTCTCGAGGCTGCTCTCAAGTCCTTTCCATGTGGACCCCTCCATATTCAATACCAGCAATGGCCCATTGAACCATCCCATGCTTTGAGTCTCTGACTTCTTTTGCCAGCTAAAGGAATCTCTCTACTTATAAATGGCTCATGTGATGACCAGGATAATTTCCCCATCTTAAGATCAACTGTTTAGTGCCTTAATTGCATCTGCAAAATCCCTTCAAAATAGTGCCTAGATTAGTGTTTGATTGAATAGCCAAGGATTGGGAATCTTGGGCAGTCATCTCAGAATTCTGCCTACACAGCATGGTTACAATTTCCTGAAAAGCTATCCTGTGAGGCCTGACAGTTATAGTACAAGCATTGGATAAACATTCCCATTTCAGAATGGAGAAATCAGCCAACAAGAAAGGTGCTACAGGCCCCATGCAAGTTTGAAAGCTGGAAGGGCAGTCATTAGATCTTAAAGCTCTAACATAATCTTTGACTCCATGTCCCATATGCTGGGCATACCGGTGCAGTGGGTGGGCTCCCAAGGCATGGAGCAGCTCTGTCCCTGTGGCTTTGCAGGATTCATCACCCATGACTGCTCTCATGGGCTCGAGTTGAGTGCCTGTGGCTTTGCCAGGCACAGGGTGCAAGCTGCTGTTGGATCTACCATTCTTGGATCTGGAGGATGGTGGCCCTCTTCTCACAGCTCCACTAGGCAGTGTGCCCCATTGGGAACTCTGTGTGGGGAATGTGTATTAATCTGTTCTCACACTGCTAATAAAGACATACCCGAGACTGGGTAATTTATAAAGGAAAGGGGTTTAATTGACTCACAGTTCCACCGTGGGGTGGGGCTCACAACCATGGCAGAAGGCAAATGAGGGGCAAAGTCAAATCTTATATGGCAGCAGACAAGAGAGCTTGTGCAGTGCAACTCCCATTTATAAAACCATCAGATCTCAGGGAACTTATTCACTACCACTAGAATAGTATGAGGGAAACCACTGCCACGATTTAATTATCTCCACCTGGCCCCACCTTTGACACGTGGAGATTGTTACAAATCAAGGTGAGATTTGTGTGGGGACACAGCCAAACCATATCAGTGTGCCAACCTTACAATTCCCCTTGGCATTGACCTAGTAGAGGTTCTCTGTGAAGGCTCCACCCCTGCAGCAGTCTTCTGCCTGGACACCCAGACTTGTCCATACATCCTCTGAAATCAAGGTGGAGGGTGGCAAACCTCAAGTCTTGTGCTCTGTACACCGCAGGCTTAACACTACATGGAAGCCACCAAGGCTTTTGGCTTCCACCATCTGGAACTGCAGCCCAAGCTGTACTTGGGCCCCTTTGAGCTGTGGGTAGAGGTGGAGCAGCCTGGATGTGGGAAGCAGTGTCCCAAGGCTGTGCAGGGCAGCAGGGCCCTGGGCTTGGTCCAGGAAACCATTCTTCCCTCCTAGGCCACTGGGCATATAATGGGAGAGGCTGCCATGAAGGTCTCTAAAATGCCTTTGAGGTCTTTTTCCCATTGTCTTTGGAATTAGTTCTTGGGTCCTTTTTAGTCAAGCAAATTTGTCTAGCAAATGGTGGCTCTCCACAGCCTGCTTGAATTCCTCTCCTGAAAAAGCTTTTTCTTTCTTTGCCACATAGCCAGGCTGCAAATTTTTCAAACTTTTATGCTGTGCTTCCTGTTTAAATATAAATTCCAACTTTAAGTCATTTCTTTGCTCCCACATTTAAGTTAGGCTGTCAGAAGCAGCCATGCCACAACTTCAATGCTTTGCTGCTGAGAAATTTCTTCTGCTGGCCAGGTGTGGTGGCTTATGCCTGTAATCCCAGCACTTTGGGAGGCTGAGGTGGGCGGATCACCTGAGGTCAGGAGTTCGAGACCAGCCTGGTCAACATGGTGAAATCTCATCTCTATTAAAAATACAAAAATTAGCTGGGCATGGTGGTGGGTGCCTGTAATCCCTGCTACTCAGGAGGCTGAGGCATGAGAATTGCTTGAACCCGGGAGGCAGAGGTTGCAGTGAGCCAAGATGCACCACTGCACTCCAGCCTGGGTGACAGAGCGAGACTCAGTCTCAAAAAAAAAAAAAAAAAATTCTTCTGTCAGACACTTAGATCATCACCCTTTAGTTAAAAGTTCCACAGATCCCTAGGGCGTGGACAGAACACAGCCAAGCTCTTTGCTAAGACACAACAAATGTGACCTTTGTTTTAGTTCTCAAGAAGTTTCTCACTTCCATCTGAGACCTTGTCAGCCTGGCCTTCATTGTCCATATCACTATCAGCATTTTGGTTGAAACTATTTAACCAGTCTCTAAGAAGTTCCAAACTTTCCCTCACCTTCCTATCTTCTTCTGAGCCCTCCAAACTCTTCCAACCT